>NC_000002.12:26757120-26909870 GCF_000001405.40 Homo sapiens
CCTCCGCCCCTGGGTCCAAGTGATTCTCATGTTTCAGCCTCCCAAGTAGCTGGGATTACAGGCACCCGCCACCATGCCTGGCTAATTTTTGTATTTTTTAGCAGAGACAAAGTTTCACCATGTTGGCCAGGCTGGTCTCAAACTCCTGACCTCAAGTGATCCACCCACCTTGGCCTCCCAAAGTGCTGGGATTACAGGCGTGAGCCACCGTGCCCGGCCATTACAGATTAACTTTCTATACAAAGACTTCATGACTATCACGTTGTCTAAGATGGGATGTTAAATACACTCCTCTCAATTGGAAAGGAAATAAAAAGTTGTAAAGAAAACAAGCTCTATGGAAAAGAAAAACTAACTGTTGTAACTCATAAACAAGCCTGTTGCAGAAAATGTTATAATCCTACTAAATGTATTTGTTTCCTGCCTATATAAGCTAAACCTTAACTTTTTTGGTTTTCCCCCAAGCCGACCAGGATGAGAAAGACCTTAACTTTCAACTTTGGAGCACTGGCCCCATTTCTCTGGTGCCTGTGTTTCTCAGGTGGTTACTCCCAGCTTTTCACTTGCATAAACTATTTAAAATTGAATTCTGAACCTTTTGATTATTTCAGGTGGATAGATAGATTTTGCAAAGCCTATGCATGTACATATTCACCCTAATTCTGTTACCGGAAAGGGGTCCCAATCCAGACCCCAAGAGAGGGTTTTTGGATCTCGAGCAAGACACAAGAATTCAAGGTGAAGCCACAGAGTAAAGTGAAAGCAAGTTTATTAAGAAAGTAAAAGAATAAAAGAAAGGCTAATCCATAGGCAGAGCAGTGGCATGGGCTGCTTGACTGAGTATACTTATAGTTATTTCTTGATTATATGCTAAACAAAGGGTGGATTATTCATGAACTTTCCAGGAAAGGGGCGGGGATTTCCTGGAAGTGAGTGTTCCTCCCCCTTTCTGACCATAGGTCACTCTTGTTGCCATCTTGGTTTTGGTGGGTTTTGGCCGGCTTCTTTACTGCATCCTGTTTCATCAGCAAGGTCTTTGTGACCTGTATCTCATGCCAACCTCCTGACTCATCCTGTAACTAAGAATGCTTAACCTCCTGGGAATGCAGCCTAGTAGGTCTCAGTCTTATTTTACCCAGCCCCTATTCAAGATAGAGTTGCTCTCGTTCAAATGCTTCTGACGATTCCTCTGTATTTTTTTCAGAATTCCTGTCTCTTTGGGCCCTGATACCTTAGCCTGGGGCTCACTGCTACCTGGAAGCACTAATGCAATCCTAGTTTTCTCCCCTAAAGCCCATTCTAGCCAGGTGGCAGGGACGTGGAGCCTCACTGTAGGTCACACCCTGGCGTGAAGGGCTGATCAGCCACCCCATGGTGTCCACATGGTTGTCTCTGCCTGGGGTGACCCTGCTTTCTGCACCTGGAGCAATCCTGCTCCTCCTTCAAGTCCCTACTCAGGTCTCCTCTGAATTCCAGTTCTACAGGGCTACTGTGAAAACCAAGGCCACAGAGGTCAAGCTTCAGGCACAGGCCTGACACAGGGCACCTGGTCCAGGACAGCTCTGATTGTCACTGTTGTCCCCTCTCCTTGCCCACTCCCTTAGGTAATCCATCCCTCCCTCAACCCCCTCTGTCTCTTACACATTCTCACATTGCTGCATGGTTAATGCAGTGTTGACCCCTCTCCTCCAATGAATCTCAAATTCCTTAAGGGCAGTGACCTTGTCTTGCTTCCTTAGGACCCCATATCTGGCTCTAGGCCTTAAACTTAGTGGACTCCACGGATATTTGCCAATAAACTCTGTCTCCTGGGATCCACAGACAGCAGTTTGATGAATGGTCAGGACATTGTGATAAATTAAAATTCATTGTTTGATGTGGCTATCGACACAGACAGAGACTGTGCTGCTAGTGACATCATGTCGGTCTGGTAATTAATAATGATCATTAGTAACGTTTACTTCAGGACAGTGCCCTTGGCCTGGACGTGTGGGGAAAATGGTCCAGAGCCTCACCGACTGAGTCACTGTGCCCTGTAGGAACGGCCTCTGATAGGGATGAGTGCCTGCTGCTGTGGGCTGCCCCAGTCTGCCCCTTGGGACAGAAGCTGTGTTTTATTCATCCTACATCTCAATAAACATTTTTTGATAAATCAATGAACTCCTTTGAAATCACACAAAACTAGAGGTGTTGTTGGAGACAAGCGGTTCAGAAGAGACCAGGCATTGTGGCTCAAGCCTGTAATCCCTGCACTTTGAGAGGCCAAGGTGGGTGGATCACCTGAGGTCAGGAGTTTGAGACCAGCCTGGCCAACACAGTAAAACCCTGTCTCTACTAAAAATACAAAAATTAGCTGGGTGTGGTGGTGTACGCCTGTACTCCCAGCTACTTGGGAGGGTGAGGCAGGAGAAGCCTGGGCAACAGAGCAAGACTCCATCTCAAAAAAAAAAAAGTTCAGAAGAAACCTCTTCTGGGTCTTCCAACTCCGCACTGACTGAAAGGAGAAGAGGCTCCAATTAAAGAAAATTCTAGAACATTCTGTGGGTCCCAGGCTTGTTCCACACTCACACCTCTGCACCGCTGTACATGCCATGTCCATCTGCAAGAAAGCCCTTCTGCTGTCTATCTGGGGACCTCCTATGTTTTTTCCAGGATCCCACTTATACACCTTCTCCAGCAGGTCTTCCTGCAATAAGGGAGTCTGGTGCAGCCCCTTGAGAGTTCTGCGTCCACTCTGGCCTTTTTCACAAGTTCGAGGCTGTCTTAGGGCAAGTAGGAGGAGTTGGCAGACAGGTCCTATCTCTGTACCTCTTGTTGATCTATTTGTTTAATTTAAAAAATTTGTGTGTGTGTGAGATAGGGTCTTGCTCTGTTGCCCAGGCTGAAGTGCAGGGGCATGACCACGGTTTACTGCAGCCTCAAAGTCCTGTGCTCAAGCAATCCTCCTGCCTCAGCTTCTCCAGTAACTGGGCTCACAGGCCCGCACTACCACCCCTGACTAATTTTTAAGTGTTTTTGTAGAGATGAGGGTCTGGCTATGTTGCCCAAGCTGCTCTCAAATTCCTGGGATTAGGAGGCCTCAGCCTCCCAAAGTGCTAGGATAACAGGTGTGAGCCACCACACGGGCCACCTCCTGTTCATCTAAAATGAAGTTGCTAGCCATCTGGGCGTGGTGGCTTACACCTGTAATCCCAACACTTTGGGAGGCCAAGGTGGGTGGATCACTTGAGGTCAGGAGTTCAAGACCAGCCTGGCCAACACGGTGAAACCCCATCTCGACTATAAATACAAAAAATGTAGCTGGGCATGGTGGTGCTCACCTGTAATCCCAGCTACTCGGGAGGCTGAGGCAGGGGAATTGCTTGAACCTGGGAGGCAGAAGTTGTAGTGAGCCAAGAATGTGCCACTGCACTCCAGACTGGACGACAGAGCACCACTTCATCTTAAAAAAAACAAGAAGGTGCCAAGGCACAAAATATAAGTTAAACAGTTTACTTGAGCCAAAATGAGGACAGCTGCCCAAAAGACTCAGACGCAAGTAATCTTGGATGTGAGCTCCCTTCTCTCTTTGTTACAAACAGGTTTTTAAAGGCAGAAAAAGGAGGACAGGGAGTGGGCTGATACAAAGTTGTTTGTCAGAAATTCTCATTGGTTTACAGAAATAACATTGATTAGTGATTGGCTGTACAGTGCTATAGGATGTAAGATATGGTGTCCAGTGCAGCATTGTTAGGTTATAGCTACCTGTGGCAATAGCAAGCAGTTTCAAGACATAAATACATAACTCAAAGTGGGAGTAGGACGTGATTGCTGTCTTATTTTAATGTCTCTCTGGGCCTGATAACTTACAGGACTCGCATTCCTCAGGTAAAAGTTCTTTTCTCACCACAGAAACAAGATCTGCAGCATAGGGGAAGTGTGTTGGCTCGGTCTGAAGTCGTTTTCCAAAGTGTCAGAGACATTTAAATCAGAGCAACTCCATCTTGAACAGGGGCTGGGTAAAACGAGGCTGAGACCTACTGGGCTGCATTCCCAGGAGGTTAGGCATTCTAAGTCACAGGTCGAGATAGGAAGTGGGCACAAGGTACAGGTCACAAAGACCTTGCTGATAAAACAGGATGCAGTAAAGAAGCCGGCCAAAACCCACCAAAACCAAGATGGCGACAAAAGTGACCTCTGGTTTTTCTCACTGCTTGTTATACACTATTTATAATGCATTAGCATGCTAAAAGACACTCGCACCAGCGCGCGACAGTTTACAGATGCCATGGTAGCAACTGGAAGTTAACCTACATGGTCTAAAAAGGGGAGGAACACTTAGTTCTGGCAATTGCCCACCCCTTTCCCAGAAAACTCATGAATAATCCACCCCTTGTTTGGCATATAATCCAGAAATATCCATAAAAATAACCAATCAGCAGCCCTCGGGGCTGCTCTGCCAATGGAGTAGCCATTCTTTATCCTTTACTTTCTTAATAAACTTGTTTTCACTTTATGGATTCCCCGCAAGGTGCCAGGTCCAAGAACCCTCTCTTGAGGTCTGGATCAGAACCCCTTTCTGGTAACAAAAGGATCTTGTCGCTGGCGTGACAGGGCATGGGTGCAGACTAGAGCACTGGGAAAGGCATATTAGGAGCAGTTTTTTCTTTTCTTTTTCTTTCTTTTTTTTTTTTTTTTTGAGATGGAGTTTTCGCGCTTGTTGCCCAGGCTGGAGTGCAATGGCTCGATCTTGGCTCACTGCAACTTCCATCTCCCAGGTTCAAGCGATTCTCCTGCCTCAGCCTCCGGAGTAGCTGAGATTACAAGCATGCACCCCCACACCTGGCTAATTTTTTGTATTTTAGTAGAGATGGGGTTTCACCATGTTGGTCAGGCTGATCTTGAATTCCGACCTCAGGTGATCCACCTGCCTCAGCCTCCCAAAGTGCTGGGATTACAGGTGCGAGCCACCGCGCCTGGCCTTTTTTTTTTCTTTTTTTAAGACAGGGTGTCACTTTGCCACCCAGGCCGGAGTATAGTGGCATGATCTCAGTTCATTGCAACCTCCACCTCCAGGGACTCAAGCGATCCTCCTACTTAGCCTCCTGAGTAGCTGGGATTATGGGTACTTGTCATGACACTCAGCTAATTTTTGCATTTTTAGTAGAGACTGAGTTTTGCCATGTTGCCCAGGCTTGTCTGGAAATCCTGAGCTCAAGCAATCAGCCCGCTTCAGCCTCCCAAAGTGCTAGGATTATAGGTGTGAACCACCACACCCAGCCAAGAGTAGGATTTTAAACACCAGAACCCCTTGAGGACTAAGCTCTGATTTTTTTTACCTTGCCCAAATTCCTACCTAAGAGGTCTGGAGAGTCATGCCCTACAAACCATAAATTCTCATCAGATGGGTTTTATTTAACCCTATATATCATGACTTACTTTCCAATCTGACTCTGGCATAATATTATGTGACTAAGAAGAAAGTCAAAAGATTTTACCCCAAAACATTTTTCTTTGCCATATCTTGAAATGGCCCTGCAAATCTGTCTTTTGTGGGGGAAAATTTGCATCTGTAAAGAATCTCTATTACCGGCCGGGCGTGGCGGATCACGCCTGTAATCCCAGCACTTTGGGAGGCCGAGGCAGGTGGATCAGGAGTTCAAGACCAGCCTGGCCAACATGGTGAGACCCCCCCCATCTCTACTAGAAATACAAAATTTAGCCAGGCGTGGTGGCAGGCACCTGTAGTCCCAGCTACTTGGGAGGCTGAGGCAGAGAACTGATTGAATCCGGGAGGTGGAGGTTGCAGTGAGCCGAGATCGCACCACTGCACTCCAGCCTGGGCGACAGAGCAAGACTCCGTCTCAAAAAAAAACAAAAATCTCTATTAACATAGATAGATATTTTTCCCGTTTCCTGCCCCACCCTCTCCCCTCCTCCCGGCTTTGAGTTGTCCTACCTTTCTGGACCAAACCAATGTATTTCTTAAATGTATTTGATTGATGTCTCGTGTCTTTCTAAAATGCTGCGCCCCGACCACTTTGGGCACATGTTCTCAGGACCTCCTGAGGGCTGTGTCACGGGCCATGGTCACAAATATTTGGCTCAGAATAAATCCCTTCAAATATTTTAGAGTGTGACTCTTCGTCAACACCCTCTTCAAACAAACCTAGGGATGGTCTTTCTGCCTGGATGCCTCAGCTGCGACCAGAAAGTCCACAAAGGAGCAGTGAAGCAGGGCTTGGTGCAGAGGCCATGCGGAAGGCACGGATTTTTGGAGACTGGAGAACCCAAGCGCAAATCCCTACCCCACTGCTCACCAGCAGGTTCTTAAGCAAATCACTCTGCTTCGCTGAATTTACTGTCCTCAGCTATAAAATGGTGTCCTCGGCAACTGGAGCTAGATGCCTTCGCCACTTTGCTGAAAGATATGAACTGTGCCCAAGGTGGGCGGTATCAGATAGGAGCCCCGAAGTGGAAACGTCCAGCGTGGGAATCTCCTCTCTACAGGGTCCCCAAGGAACTCCCGGCAGGCCCACTTCAGGGCTCCTTTCTGACACCGCCCAGCTCAACCTCTCAAAACGATTCACAAAATGCTGTAATAGCCACGATGCACCCTCACTGCACTGTCCCATCCGCCCCTTTTACAAATAGGAAGACCCAAAGATAAAAATAAGAAACCAAGGCCAGGCGCGGTGGTTCACGCCTGTAATCCCAATACTTTGGGATGCGGAGGAGGGCGGATCACCTGAGGTCGGGAGTTCGAGACCAGCCTGGCCAACATGGTGAAGCCCTGTCTCTACTAAAAATACAAAAAATTAGCCGGGCGTGGTGAAGGGCGCCTGTAATCCGAGCTACTCGGGAGGCTGAAGCAGGAGAATCGCTTGAACCCAGGAGGCGGATATTGCAGTGAGCCGAGATCATGCCATTGCACTCCAGCCTGGGCGACAGAGTGAGACTCCTTCTCAAAAAAATAGAAAAAAGAAACCCAAAAAGGCGGGGGAGAGTGAGGAAGAAAAGAAAAAAAAAACTGGAAGGCCTGGGCCGTGATTTGCCAGGGCCACGGCGTGGCCACCAAAGCGCTCCAGGACGACTCGGCAGAGCGCGGGCACCGTGGCTCAGGCGCGCTCCCCGGGGGCGGGGCGAGCAGGAGGGGTCACGTGACGCCCGGCCCGGAAGCGCTCGCGCAGGAGACCCCGGGTGACGGGGCCCGGCGCCGCTAACTGGAGCGAACCCCAGCGTCCGCCGACATGGCCTGGACCAAGTACCAGCTGTTCCTGGCCGGGCTCATGCTTGTTACCGGCTCCATCAACACGCTCTCGGCAAAGTGAGTCTGGGCCCTGCCGGGCGTGCGGGCCCTGGCGACCCCGGCGCTCGTTCTACGCCTTCCCCCTTCTTGGCCCTGCCCTCCTGGCTTCCCCTGCTTTCCCACTTGCTCCGGTCAGTTCGCGCGCGTTATGACCACCCAAGGGATGCGAGGCCCGGGGAAATGCGGAGCGGGGCTGCGCCCCGGACGGGGGGATCCGAGCCCCGGCTTTGATTTGCTGTACAGCCTCCGCTCCTGTTTCCACGTCTTTTAACAGGAGGGTTGGCCGATTCCTTTCCACGGCCCTTCCAGTGCTGGCGTCCAAGCCTGAGCACCTCCCTCCACGAGCTGGGAGAGACCCCTGGACTTGTGCACATGAGCCGCAGTAGTGGCTGTGCAGGCCGAGTGACCCAGTGAGCGTGGAGGCCTCAAGCGGCAGACAGGGAGGTGCCCCACGGCCCCTCAAGGATGAGGGGTTAGAGCTGTGCTTTGAAGCTTAGGTGGGATTTCGGAATGTGTCTGAGACTGTAAGTCAAGGAAAGTCTACGGAAAGGCCAGATCAAAGTCGATTGTAACCAGCATCAAATGCCCAGGTTAGATTTTCTCTCATAATCAGAAAAGTGCTTTTGAGCTGGGGAATGACATGTTGAAAGTGATATGATTGACTCAATGACATGAGGAGTGGTTTGGTGCAGGAAAAACCACTCCAAGGCTGCTGCATAGCAGATGAGGGGAACTAGGAGGTGGCAGTGAGAAGAGAAAGGAAGGGACAACTGGTGGCAGAGACCAGGTGTGAATGGCCACAGGCCTGACCCACATGAGCAAGAAACAAGGATCACTCCAGGGTTTCTGCCTGGGAGAAGAAAAGTGCCATTAACTCAGACAGAGAGGGCAAGTGGCCAGTTCAGCTCTGATGTATGGGGGTGAGAGGGGGGACAGTTCCCAGGAGGTTAGGGACTAAGGACCCAGGCAGTCATGAGACTGAGGGACAGGGCCTAGCCTCCCCTCTGTTGTGGGCAGGATGGCATTTCTTTGTCTCTCTCTGTCTCCATCTCAGGGCAGGGCCTTCCTGCCCCTCCTTTTCTTGTTGCCCAGGCTGGAGTGCAATGGCACGATCCCATGTATAAGGTACCTACGGTGTGTAAGGGAAGGGGACAGAAGTGACCAAGAGGCGATCTCTGCCTTTGAGATGCTTGGAATCTGAGGTGGAGGAGACAGACGTGTACGCACACGACAGTCACAGTGTTCTCCCTTCCCCAAACGGTGGGCACAGTCAGTGGAGTCCTGGGTGGGCCCCACCTGTTCCTCTGGTTCACCTCTGGCCAACTGTGCCTTGTGGAGAACTACTAGCTTCCCAGGCCCTGCATCCTCCTGAGGATCACTCCTCATGCTGAATCCTTAGCTGTTCAGAGGCCCCAGCCTGAGGGCTCCCATCTCAGGATCTGAACACAGCAAAGCAAGTCTTCTGTTCTGTCATGCCAGCCAGGGCCTCTGTCAAGTGCTTAGAGAGCGGTTGTAAGTCCACCAGGGCTGCTGCCCACAAGGAGAATCCAGATTGCCAGTTACTGCTGGGGTAAACTGTGCTGATTCACCTCCTTCCTTAGAAAACTCCAAACCAGTCAGGTAGGAAGCTTAGAGATCCTCAATCCCAGAAGGCGTCGCCTTTAAAGGCTGCCTGAGAGTCAGGAAAGAGGCTCCCAGGTGACAGACCCAACTTTTGGTCCTGTCCCCTGCCTGACAGCTGGTGTGGGGCCTCTCAGGATCCTCCCACCCCAAGATGGGCCCCCAAATTGGACCCTAAACAGTGTTCTAAGGTCAAACCACAAGAAGGGATACTCTTAGGGAGAAAGAACATGTGGGAGCAGCTGCATGCACCCCGATGTGAAGTATGGATTTGAAATCACATTTCTGGCCCGGCGCGGTGGCTTACGCCTGTCATCCCAGCACTTTGGGAGGCAGAAGCGGCTGGATCACTTGAGGTCAGGAGTTTGAAACCAGCCTGACCAATATGGTGAAACTGCATCTCTACTAAAAATACAAAAATTAGCTGGGCGTGGTAGTGCGCACCTGTAGTCCCAGCTACTTGGGAGGCTGAGACAGGAGAATTGCTTGAACCCGGGAGGCGGAGGTTGCAATGAGCCAAGATTGCACCACTGCCCTCCAACCTGGGTGACAGAGTGAGACTCGGTCTCAAAAAAAAAAATAAAAGGAAATCACATTTTTGACCCACGATTTCCAGCAGGCACAGACAGACAAGCATGTGCTGACAACTAGCAGAAGCATCTCATGCACAAAGAGCACCTCGCATGCCCCAGGCCCTGCTCTGCCCTTTCATGTGTGAACTCAGGGAATTCTCATAACCACCCTATCAGGCAAAGACAGGGGCTGATATTCCTGTATAAGGAAACTGAGGTAGGAAATGATTAAATTCCTTGCCCAAGTTCAACTTAGCTACTAAGTGGCAGAGTTTATAGTTGAGCCAGCATGGTCTGGCTCTAGCATCCATGCTCTTAACCACCACTGGAGGGTGTGGCTGGGGACTTCTCCAGTCATTTTGGGGTCATTTAGAGTTGTTAAAAGCATAGAAATCATCCAGTCTAATCCCCACAATTTACAAAGGAGGCCTCAGGAGAAGTTTCTTTCTGTGATTCAACTGTTTGGTGTCTGAATGAAGGCTGGAACCCAGGCCTCAGGACTTTAAGTCCTGTTCTTTTATGACTGTGATACCCCAGAGTCCCTCCTTCCTGGGAGTTTCCTCTCACAGCTCCCCAGGCCAGGACAGAGAAGCCTGTGCTTGTGGAAGTTGTAAACCTGTAAGTGGCATCTGCGCTCCCAGCCTTTGATGTGCCTCTCTCCAGGACTGGGCTGCCAGCCTCTCAGCCAGCCCAGAGACACTGCTGACAGGGTCCTCCCGCTGGAGTCCAGGCCACTCAAGGTTCAGACTGACAGCCTGTGGTTGTCTCTGGCAGTTTCTTGGCCTGTGACAAGAGTGATGTTTCCCTTCCCAGGTTCTTGGGAGGATGAAAGGCAGTGGATGAGGAAGCACATCTGAGCACGTGCTGCCTGCTGTGCTGGGGCGGCAGGTCAGCTTTCCTCTCTGCGGCCCCATCCCTGGGTCCTGGCAGGGGGCCCCTCCCTGTGAAGTGGCTTCTTCTTTCCCTGGCTGTTTTCTCAAAACCTCCTCACTAGCACCTTCTGTCGATCATCTTCTTTAGGCCAAGCCATTTCTGTCTACGTGAGCCAGTGCCCCATCCACAGGTACTCATTTCAGAACCCCAGTCTCCTGAATCCAACTGAGGTTCTACATATGAAGAGCCGGGGTCAGCTGGGCACTGTGGCTCCAGCTTGTAATCCCAGACTGGAGGCTGAGGTGGGATGATCATTTGAGCCCAGGAGTTCAAGATCAGCCTGGACAACATAGGGAGACCTCGTTCTCTACAAATAATAATAATAAATAATTAATTAATAGAGCCAGGGTCAAGTAG
This sequence comes from Homo sapiens, assembly GCF_000001405.40. Lineage (NCBI taxonomy): Eukaryota > Metazoa > Chordata > Mammalia > Primates > Hominidae > Homo > Homo sapiens. The sequence goes on from NC_000002.12 coordinate 26,767,891, forward strand.
ATGCTCACTAAGTAAGGCTCAGCTCCCCTCCTAAGTTCTGCAGGCTGTAGGGCCCTCCCAGCCAGGCAGGGATATGAGCCTGACTTCCTTTCATGCCCAGGCCAGGGACCCTGCCAAGAAGGTGGCAGGAAGCCTGGAAACCACTAGGCCTCTACTAGAGAAGAGGTGTTTGCTCTTCTTCTGTGTCCTTTCTGTGCCAGCTCCAATGTTTGCCCTTGGCAGCTGCCCCACCACCCTTGGGTTCCATGAACTGGCATGGGATAATTGCTTCAAAGGGGTTGTTGGGCCAGCTTGTGGAAGCCTTAACTCAGGAGGACAGTGTAGTAGAGTGGGAAGTTCATGAGGCTTGGGACCTGAGGAATAGATGAGCCACTGGACCTCTGTGAGCCTCAGTTTTCTCATCTGTAAAATGGACTTGGTGATCCCTGCCGTACCTTCTTCCTGGACACTGAAGATCTACTGAGGAAGGTTTCCTTTTTTTTTTTTTTTTGAGACGGAGTCTGGCTCTGTCATCCAGGCTGGAGTGCAGTGGTGTGATCTCAGCTCACTGCAAGCTCCGCCTCCCGGGTGAACGCATTCTCATGCCTCAGCCTCCTGAGTAACTGGGACTACAGGTGCCTGCCACCATGCCCGGATAATTTTTTTGTATTTTTTTAGTAGAGACAGGGTTTCATTGTGTTAGCCAGGATGGTCTCGATCTCCTGACCTCGCCCATCTCGGCCTCCCAAAGTGCTGGGATTACAGGCATGAGCCACTGTGCCCAGCCTTTTTTTTTTTTTTTTTTAAGACACGGTCTCTCTCTGTTGCCCAGGCTGGAGTGCAATGGTGCCATCTAGGCTCACTGCAACCTTGAGCCATCCTCCCACCTCAGCCTCCCAAGTAGATGGGACCACAGACACCCGCCACCGTGCCCACCTAATTTTTGTATTTTTTGTAGAGACAGCGTCTTGCCATGTTTCCTAGGCTGGTCTCAAACTCCTGGGCTCAAGCAATCCACCTGCCTCAGCCTCCCAAAGTGTTGGGATTACAGGCATGCACCACCACACCCAGCTTAAGGAAAGTTTTCCATTCCATGGAGATGAGAGGGCTCACCATTGTCACCTCAGGAGCCAGGGCCACCTGCTGTGGCACCCCAGAGAGTGGAGAAGCCTTGGCCCTTCTGTAGGTCCCAGGCAGGAGAAAGAAGGGGACTCACTGGGCTTGACAAGCTGGGGACACAAGAGGAAGTGGCAGAGATTCTGTGGGAATGGCCACAGCTAATCTGCCCAAGCCAGCCCCATCGCCACTTCCTCAGTCTGTTTTCGCCACCCCCGTTCACGTGGACGTGCACACCTCCCAGAATGCTGAGCTTTGAGTTTGGGCCTGGCCATGCTAGGGAGTGACTCACCACCCAGCACGGAGAGCCTACTCCCCAGCCTGCCCGCCAAAAGGAGCGGCCTCAGCTTGTCCCCGCTAGGACCCTTCGGGCCTCCTGCCCTGGAGGTCATCTCCCCTAGAATACAGTGTCTGTGGAGAAGACAGGCCCACCTACTGGGCTGCCCCTCTCCTCCCACCAGCTAGGGGAGCAAGAACTCAGAGGAGAGCTTCAGAGCATCAGGGAGGGGGCGCATGACTGCCTGCTGAGCTTCCAGTGTACTGGCCCTGTTTCAACATCTGAGGAGCCGTGAGCCCCTCGAGCCCTCTCTGGCCCCTGGGTTCCTGTCTGTCAAATAAGGAGTTCAGCTGATGGCTGAGTTTCTTCTGTTTCAGCATTTTGGCTCTGTGAACTGCAGGGACAATAGCCTGAGGTCCCTCCAGCCACCTCTGCCTCAGCCAGCAGGACAGGTTCCAGACGTTTTTCCAGTAGCTTTCAGGCTGAAGGGGAGCTGGGGCCACGCTGAACCCAAGGGGGAGATGGCTTCTGCTCAGTGAAGGGAAAGGAGAAGGGGCAGAAAATGAGTTTTGCTGAATACCTGCCATGTGCCAGGTCATGTATATATCCTTATATCATGTATTGCTTCTGACAGTTTGTCAGTGTTGGTATGATTACCCTGTAACTTGTCCAGCCTGTGGGACTCAAAACTCTGGGTTTTCTCTGTATTCTGCCTTTTCTGAGTATAAATTCAAGCAAGGTTTAACCCTGGATCTGCCTTAAGCCTCAGAGTCCCCATCTAAAATGAGGATCCTTGTTGTAAGGCTTAACGGGACAGTCCCCATGAAGTGTCCTATGAATTGTGCATTTAAGGAAACATGGGCTGGGTGCAGTGGCTCACACCTGTAATCCCAGCACTTCGGGAGGCTGAGGCAGGTCAATCTCTTGAGGCCAGGAGTTCGAGACTAGCCTGGGCAGCATAAACAAGGCTGCATCTTTGCAAAAAATACAAAAATTAGCCGGGCATGGTGGCCCATGCCTGTAGTCCCAGCTACTCAGGAGGCTGAGGTGAGAGGATCATATGAGCCTTGGGAGGCTGAGGCTGTAGTGAGCCGTGATTGTGCCACTGCACTCCAGCCTCAGTGACAGAGTAATACCCTGTCTGAAAAACAAAACAAAAAAACAAACGTTGTTGGCCGGACGCAGAGGCTTATACCTGTAATCCGATCACTTTGGGAGATTGATACGGGTGGATCACTTGAGGTCAGGAGTTCGAGACCATCCTGGCCAACATGGTGAAACTCCGTCTCTACAAAAAATATAAAAATTAGCTGGGCATGGTGGTGGGTGCCCGTAATCCCAGCTACTTGGGAGGTTAAGGCAGGAGAATCACTTGAACCTGGAAAGCAGAGGTTGCAGTGAGCCAAGATCGCGCTGCTACACTCCAGCCTGGGTGACAGAGGGAGGCTCCGTTTCAAAAAAAAAAACAAGAACAAAAACAAAAGACAACAAACAACAAACGTTGTGAAGAACTGACAGCAAAGTGCTGCCCACCTTAGGGGTCACTGCTGTCATCCCCAGGCAAACTGGGGCTGGATTTTTGTTCTAGCCTGTGAGGCTGGGGTCTTTTCTGATTCTGCGCCAGGAGTCGAAACCTGTCTCCAATCCAGGATGAGAAGCCTGGCTTTCTGCCCCAAGGTACCTGCAGGCCTGAGCATCTCAGGCTGGGCAAGGCAGCCCATGCTGCTGACACCCAATCCCTTGGGCTGTCAGCCTGCCCCAGGCCCTCAGATACAAAGAGATACCATTTCCCCAGCCGGGAGCGCTGCCAGCCAGGCCTGTCTAGGCAGACCTACCCGTGGAGAAAGCGAAGACAACCCCTGTGGGAGGTGGGGAGCTCAGCACCAGCCCTACAGTCAGCTCCCCAAGAAGCGCCCCAGCCTTGGGGAAGGACAGGCCCCGAGGGGTTTCCCCTATGGACCAACTTGTTCTACCAGCAGGGGGCCCTCAGACTCAGGTGGGAAGTAGGACTCATGGAAATGTGGCCTCAGCTTCCATACCTGCCCCCTACAGACAAAAATAATAATAAAATAAATAATAATCCTTGCCTGAAGCTTCTGATCAACCTTCATGGCCTGGCAATAGCTCCCTTGTCCCTCCTAGAGGAAACTTGGCTCCTGGCCTGGGGATTCCCATCTCTCTGACTTCACTTGCTCTGGGCAGTTGGCTCTGTGCCCTTGGTAAGGCTTGACCTCTTCTCTCTTCCTTGCTTTGCCTCTGTTTCACTCAGTTGCCTCATGCAGGCCTTCTCAGGGGGCTCTTTCTGCAAAAGCAAGACTGGGTTCGAGAGCAGCCCTGCTGGGTCTGTGGCCCTTACCCATGTTCCATGTCCTGTCCTGGCCAGGGATCCAAGAGCCAACAGCATATCAGGCAGAAATTAGGCACCATGGGTGCAGTGGCTCATGCCTATAATCTCAGCAACTCAGGAGGCTGAGGCGGGAGGATTGCTTGAGCCCAGGAGTTCAAGACCAGCCATGGCAACATAGTGAGACCCTCTCTCTAAAAAAAAAAAGAGAAAGAAGTGAGACTCCAGCCCATGAGGTCAGGTGTTTCCTGACCTGGGGTGGAGGCTTCCCCAGCTCCCAGACTCCCTGTTCCATAGCAGGCGCTTTCTTTGCCCCACTGGTACTGGTTACAGCCTGGTCCCCAAGCCATGCCAGGCTCCAGGTTTCTCTCTGCCTTCTAAACAGTTCTGTCCGAACTTCTCCCTTCAACTCTCCTTTGCCCCTGCCATTCCCAAGAACCACAAGGAATCTTAACTACCCCTCTTTCTCCACATCTCCAGGAGCTGGTGGGGTCTCTCACTATGGAATAGGTTTGCCATAGCCCTGTTTTCTTCCGCAAACTCAGAGGCATATAGAGAAGCCAAAGCTGGACAGGGACTTTGTCAAACCTAGACCCTAACTGCGGCACAACCAGTGGCACATGCTCTGGGTGCTGCGGGGGAGGTACAGGAACCAGAGGACTCCCCCGCCCTTTGGGAGCTGAGGCTCGCTACAGAGATGAGCCAATGGCAGTGCAGGGCTGTGCACTGCAATCTGACTGCCCTGGAAAGACATTTCAAGGAAAGGCATTTAATAAAAAGAAGTCCCGAGTCTTGCACTTTAAAGACATCCACTGCCTATGCAGGATATGCTGCAGTGGGAGCAGGTCGGTGGCCCACAGGAAACGGCTCTGGGACTGTGTTGACTTCAGTCAGCACATGATGTTACTGATGCATTTGGAGCTGTGTCAACGAACCCAGGGTGTCAACATGAGGGAGGGCCACGCCTTGCTAGCCTCAGTCTGGGCCAGATCACATGCTCTTGGCTCTGGGCCTGGGTACACCAGAGTACTTCCAGAAGTCAGTGGCCAGGGGTGAAAGGTTAGGAGAGGCTGGAGCTGTTTAGCCAGGAGATGAGAAGATTCAGAAGAAGGTCAACAAGTCCCCAGGTACCTAAAGGGCTTTCAAATGAAAGATTAGACAAGATTCCACAGACCTAACCAAGCCCAGCAAAGACGAAATTCAAGACAGAGAATTTTCATGCACAGATGGCAGACAGTTCAGAGTGATTGGTGGTTAAGCTGCCCAAAGCACTATGCCACAAAGGATTCTGGGCTTGTGTCTAGGCTCATCGGGGAAGTATGTCATAATCAGTCATCACCATCTGCCGGGTGCTGACTGGGAGGTCATGCCATGAGTGTGATGTCTTTGCCACCTGCTTGAAAGTCAGCATTAGAAAGATCTTCCAAACCATTCAGGCTTTTTGAAGGTGAGCAGGTGGTCTGTATTAAGTCATTTCCCAGGACCCAAATACTCCTGTAGACCAGAGGTTCTTGATATTTTTCATGCCATGGGACTCTTTGACAGTCTGGCACAGCCTATGGACCTCTTCTTACAGTAATGTTTTAAAACGTGTAAATAAGACCAAGGATTGGGCCAGGCACGGTGGCTCACGCCTGTAATTCCAGCACGTTGGGAGGCTGAGGAGGGTGGTTCACAAGGTCAGGAGATTGAGACCATCCTGGCTAACACGGTGAAACACCGTCTCTACTAAAAATACAAAAAAAAATTAGCCAGGCGTGGTGTCGGGCGCCTGTAGTCCCAGCTGCTCAGGAGGCTGAGGCAGGAGAATGGCGTGAACCCGGGAGACGGAGCTTGCAGTGAGCCGAGATCTTGCCACTGCACTCCAGCCTGGGCGACAGAGCGAGACTCCATTAAGAAAAAAAAAAAAAAAAGACCAAGGATTACAAAAGAAGTCAATTAAATTGAAATACAGTTATCAAACACTTAAAAAAGCAAATTCGTGATATAGAATATATATAGATATGCTTTTTTTTTTTTTTTCTGAGACAGGATCTTGCTCCATCACCTAGGCTGGAGTGCAGTGGTGCAATATCGGCTCACTGCAGCCTCTGTCCCCCAGGTTCAAGTGAGTCTCATGCCTCAGCCTCCTGAGTAGCTGGGATTACAGGCTTGTACCACCACGCCCGGCTAATTTTTGTATTTTTAGTAGAGACGGGGTTTCACCATGTTGGCCAGGCGGTCTCGAACTCCAGACGTCAAGTGATCCACCCACCTCAGCCTCCCAAAGTGTCGGGATTACAGGCGTGAGCCACTGCGCCCAGCTATATAGAAATGCTTTCTACTACATTGTTATAAGTGGGTCTGACTACTGTAATGTTCATGAGTGATGAGTGTAAATGATACCTCACGATATATACAATGACTGTAATGTGATCATGAGAGTATCTGTGATTTCTGTGCATTACAGAGGCACAGACACAGTGACTTGAGGAAATGCCAAGTTAAAACTCCTTGAGGTGAAGACTGACCCCTTTGAGAGGGAGCCCCACTCTGGGGCCGGGTCACCCAGGTCTGGGCCTCTTGACATTGAGAGGTGTGAGCCTCTTCACTAGCACCAGGGTAGGATGCTGACAGGGTCTGACCTTCCCTCTCTCTCCTACAGATGGGCGGACAATTTCATGGCCGAGGGCTGTGGAGGGAGCAAGGAGCACAGCTTCCAGCATCCCTTCCTCCAGGTATCTGGCCCTGTCCCTCCTACCTCCTGTCTCCCGGGCCTCAGACCAGGCGCCACCCCCGGCCATGAGGCCAGGCTGTTTCCTGACTTAGGAGTGGAGGTGTCTCCTGCTCCCAGAAGAGCCATCCACTTCTCTCTTTCCCTCCCCAGAGCAGAATCCAAGGTTTAGAATAGGGCAAAGAGCACCATCCTCTGCGAAAGTCCTGGCAAGTGGTCATGTCCTCACCACATCCAAGTCAGGACACGTGGAAAACATCAGCCCTAGTGACAAAAGTCAGCTCTCTATCCACTGGGAGCCCAGACCCCAATTGGGACAGGGCAGACACCATAAATGGAAGACACTGTTCGTTGAACTGAGAATCAGGAGACTCAAATGTCAGCCCCAGCTCTACCAGCAACTTGCTTTGTGGCCTTACATAAGTCTTTGAGCCTCTCTTGGGTCTAGGCTTCTCCACCTGCGATTTGACTAGGGGTTGGCCTAGATGGATGGTTTTCAGACAGGGCTCTGCACAGCCTTAGGGTTCATCAGGATGTATGGGGGCTTTGGGGCAGACCTAGGAGGCTGTCTCTAGCCTCCATGGCAGCTCTGCATTTGTCTATTTTACATATTGGGGTTCTGGGTAAGCTCTTGTTTGACAAAAGTTTGCATTAAAAAAAATAGTTAAAGATGATCCCCGAGATCCCTTCCAGCTCTGAAGTCCTCGGGTTTTCATCCCTGCAGGCAGTGGGCATGTTCCTGGGAGAATTCTCCTGCCTGGCTGCCTTCTACCTCCTCCGATGCAGAGCTGCAGGGCAATCAGACTCCAGCGTAGACCCCCAGCAGCCCTTCAACCCTCTTCTTTTCCTGCCCCCAGCGCTCTGTGACATGACAGGGACCAGCCTCATGTATGTGGGTGAGTAACCAGGCCAGGCTGAGAAGGGCTCAGGGGAAGCTGTGGCTGAAGGGGCTACTGGTGAAACAGCCCTATCCCACCCACCTCCACTTCATCCCACCATTCCCCCAGACTTCACACGCACAGGCACACAGGCAGGACTGATCGAGCGCTTACTATGAGCTTGGCATGTCTATCACCAAAGACCCCTTAGTGACAGATGGCCTTCGCCTTGGGAAGCTAACTGTAATTTGTTTCTCCTTTCCTAGCTCTGAACATGACCAGTGCCTCCAGCTTCCAGATGCTGCGGGGTGCAGTGATCATATTCACTGGCCTGTTCTCGGTGGCCTTCCTGGGCCGGAGGCTGGTGCTGAGCCAGTGGCTGGGCATCCTAGCCACCATCGCGGGGCTGGTGGTCGTGGGCCTGGCTGACCTCCTGAGCAAGCACGACAGTCAGCACAAGCTCAGCGAAGTGATCACAGGTGCGGCCAGGGGCAGGGACACGGGGCTGCCCTATCCTGCCCTGTCCTCCTTGGGAGCCCAGCACAGACTCATACAAGCTCTGCCATGTGCCATATACCAAGCCCTGGGTGAGGTGGGTAGCTCTGGAGGTGATGGATAGAATGTAGGGAAGACTGCAAAGGGATGTGGCTCCACCAAGGATGAGTGGCAGGCCGGGCAGGGCGAGGGGCTGGCTTGTCCTTTGATACAGATGCAGACATGCAAACTACTGGATTTGGGAGTGGAAAGGAACAGGTGCTTACCAAGTGCCCAGCCTGGTGCTGAGCACTGTGTGTTCATCATCACAGTGACTCCCACAGGCCCCAAACGGATGCATCACAGCCCATTTTACAATGAAATGACTGTCCTGGGTCACTTAGGGTCAGGATCAACCAAGAAATGTCTATCTCAAAGCCTGTTGCTTCTTGAAAGACCTGCGTCATACCCCGTGGGGCAGCTCTTAGACACAGGCAGGCCTCTGGGGCCTTAGCCTGGCACTGCTGGCATGCCCCTCAGGAACCAGGGAATCAGGGACAGGCAGTGGTGACTGTGCCTATGAACTATAGGGGGCCCTGCAGAGGTCAGGGGCTGGCATGTTTGGTCGCTGTGGCCATGCTCTCCTGGCCCCCAGCCCCAGTGCAGCCCTGTTCTCATCTGGGTCCCTCCTTCCCCACAGGGGACCTGTTGATCATCATGGCCCAGATCATCGTTGCCATCCAGATGGTGCTAGAGGAGAAGTTCGTCTACAAACACAATGTGCACCCACTGCGGGCAGTTGGCACTGAGGGTGTGTGTGGGCACAGGGGCCTGGAAGGAGTGGGGTAGAAGGGAGCCTGGGGAGCTGAGCACAGGACAAGGTGCCAGGGTTCACTTGTGGGGGGTGAACTTCCTGCCCCGCCTTGCCTTCCAGATGTGTTTTGACAAGTCTTCTGACACCTGCTGTGTCAGGAACTAGAGGAGACCAAGGACAGAGATGAATGAGATGCAAGCCCTTCAGAGGAGGTGACCAGCAGGAAGAAAGGGCAGTCAGTGAATTCAAGTTTGGACCACTTGTGCTCAACTGATGTCTCATTGGCCATGCCTATCTGAGTCTCTCAGGGCAGGGAGGGTGGCATTCGAGCTGCAAATTTCAACAGGCAGTAGTAGGAGCAGCTCCAAACAGAGCAAAGGCACAGGGGACTGGATGTGAATTTGAAAACCAGTGAGGAATAATTTTGAGTGTGGCCAGGTGCGGTGGCTCATACCTGTAATCCCAGCACTTTTGAGAGACCAAAGCGGGTGGATCACTTGAGGTCAGGAGTTTGAAACCAGCCTGCCCAACATGGCAAAACCGTCTCTACAAAAAATACAAAAATTAGCTGGGCGTGGTGGCGCATGCCTGTAGTCCCAGCTACTCAGGAGACTGAGACAGGAGAATCGCCTGAACTGGGGGAGCAGAGGCTGCAGCAAGCCGAGATTGCGCCACCGCACTCCAGCCTGGGCAACAGAACGAGACTCCATCTCAAAAAATAATAATTTGAGTGCAGTATAGGTTTGATGTTGGGGAAATAATCAGGAATTAAGTAGGTCAGGGTCATGTCATTAGAGAACTTTACCATCAGGCAAGTAGATTTAGACTTTAAATGACGGAGGAATCACTGAAAGTTTTTGAGCAGGGAAGTAAGTATCAAAATTATGAGATTAGCAAGATACAGCTGCGCTTTCAAAGAATGTCCTGGGGGCTAGTGCCTGTTGGGGAGCAGCTCTTGTCTGGCCCCCGGTGAGCTAAGGGACTTAGGCAGAATGTGAATTAGCTATATCACTGAGCATGCAGTCTATTTCCACTCATTTCTGTTTTCTAGCAAGACCTTAATGAGTGAAGCAGTGCATGGACTTACCTTCTGGCGCAAGCTCCTTGTCACAGACCAGTAACACACTGAACTAGAAAGCTGTGTTTTTCCAAACTTGTGAAAATAATGTAGTCAGTTGCAGCTGGCAGTTCTTTTTTTAAATGAATAGAATTTTTAAATATCAGAGCATTGTATACTGTAAGGGTAATGTTTTTATGAGTGTGTGTGTGTGTGTGTGTCCATGAACCTGTGCACACGTGTACTGGGTCACAATATAAAATGTATTTCTTACTCTTGATCCAGTCAAAAAAACCCTGAGTAAAAGTGGAGAAGGGACAGCTAGAACCCATCTAATAGGCCACAAGCTCCTGATGAGAGACTGAGGGACGTGAAAGGAGGGAGCTGGCATGAGGACCACTGGGAGGGAATGACCCGAGATCAGAGGAGGCTAAGCCGGTGGGCTGTGCTGGGGGTCTGGGGGAAGGTGGAGAGTGTAACTGTTTCCTCTACTCCCCAGGCCTCTTTGGCTTTGTGATCCTCTCCCTGCTGCTGGTGCCCATGTACTACATCCCCGCCGGCTCCTTCAGCGGAAACCCTCGTGGGACACTGGAGGATGCATTGGACGCCTTCTGCCAGGTGGGCCAGCAGCCGCTCATTGCCGTGGCACTGCTGGGCAACATCAGCAGCATTGCCTTCTTCAACTTCGCAGGCATCAGCGTCACCAAGGAACTGAGCGCCACCACCCGCATGGTGTTGGACAGCTTGCGCACCGTTGTCATCTGGGCACTGAGCCTGGCACTGGGCTGGGAGGCCTTCCATGCACTGCAGATCCTTGGCTTCCTCATACTCCTTATAGGCACTGCCCTCTACAATGGGCTACACCGTCCGCTGCTGGGCCGCCTGTCCAGGGGCCGGCCCCTGGCAGAGGAGAGCGAGCAGGAGAGACTGCTGGGTGGCACCCGCACTCCCATCAATGATGCCAGCTGAGGTTCCCTGGAGGCTTCTACTGCCACCCGGGTGCTCCTTCTCCCTGAGACTGAGGCCACACAGGCTGGTGGGCCCCGAATGCCCTATCCCCAAGGCCTCACCCTGTCCCCTCCCTGCAGAACCCCCAGGGCAGCTGCTGCCACAGAAGATAACAACACCCAAGTCCTCTTTTTCTCACTACCACCTGCAGGGTGGTGTTACCCAGCCCCCACAAGCCTGAGTGCAGTGGCAGACCTCAGCTCTCTGGACCCCTCCTACAGCACTAGAGCTAAATCATGAAGTTGAATTGTAGGAATTTACCACCGTAGTGTATCTGAATCATAAACTAGATTATCATAGTTATCTAGTTTATGAGTCATAAGCTAGATTTGATTCTTCAAAGAAGAAAAGTCAGTGAGCAAATTTAAACCAGAACTAAGCATTATATTTTCTTTTTTTTTTTTTGAGACAGAGTCTCGCTCTGTCGCCCAGGCTGGAGTGCAGTGGCACGATCTCGGCGGCTCACTACAACCTCTGCCTCCCAGGTTCAAATGATTCTCCTGCCTCAGCCTCCCGAGTAGCTGGGATTACAGGTGCATAACACACCTGGGTAACTTTTATAGAGATGGGGTTTCACCATGTTGGCCAGGCTGGTCTCAAACTCCTGACCTCAGGTGATCTGCCTGCCTCGGCCTCCCAAAGTGCTGGGATTACAGGCGTGAGACACCACACCCAGCCATAACTAAGCATTATGTTTTCTAAAACTTCTAAGATCCTCCCTAAACCCGTCTGGAGACATGGGTTTTAGCCCAGACTCTGCCTCAAACTCATTGTAGCTCCCAGCACATTACCCAGTTGCTCTGGGCCTTGGTGTTATGCTCTGGGAAGTAGATGTTGATGCTGTGGCCTTAGTGCCTTCTGGCCCCAGCATTCCATGGGCCTGTGATCTTGACCAACCTGAGAAAACAGTAACAGCCCATCCACTGGAAATACCCCTCTGCCCACAGCACCACCCTTCTGTGCTGTTTTTTTTGTTGTTTGTTTGTTTCTTCTTTTTGAGACAGAGTCTTGCTCTGTTGCCACGCTGGAGTGCAGTGGTGTGATCTCGGCTCACTGCAACCTCCCGCTCCCAGGTTCAAGCAAGTCCCCTGAGTAGCTGGGACTACAGGCGTGTGCCACCACATCCGGCTAATTTTTTGCATTCTTTAATAGAGACGGGGTTTTGCCATGTTGGCCAGGATGGTCTCAATCTCCTGACCTCATGATCCACCTGCCTCAGCCTCCCAAAGTGCTGGGGTTACAGGCATGAGCCACCACGCCCAGCCTTTTTTTTTTTTTTTTTTTTTTCTTGAGAGACAGGGTCTTGCTCTGTCACCCAGGCACAGCTTACTGCAGCCTTGAACTCCTGGGATCAATCAGTCCTCCTGCCTCAGCCTCCCGAGTAGCTAAGACTAACAGGTATGTACCACCATGCCTGGTTTATTGTTTTATTTTTTTGGCAGAGATGGGTCTCACTGTGTTGCCCAGGCTGATCTCAAACTCCTGGCCTCAAGCGATCCTCCCATCTCAGCCTCCCAAAGTGCTGGGATTACAGACCTGAGCCACCACACCTGGGCAACAGAGTGAAACCTGTCCCTGTTTTCCTGCTCTTACTCTCACCTCTGAGGCCTCCTCTGCCTGGAAGAGATTACAGGGAAATTCCAGGCAGCCCTTGTCAATTGTTTTTATGAATTCTTTACCTGTTCCTTTTAAAGACAAGGAAACTGAGGCCCAAAGTTCTAAGTTGTTTGGCAAATGGAGTCTCCTACCCTCAGCTCCTGCAAGGACCTGGGGGACCCCCAGGTCCAGCAGCCACATGATTCTGCAGCAGACAGGGACCTAGAGCACATCTGGATCTCAGCCCCACCCCTGGCAACCTGCCTGCCTAGAGAACTCCCAAGATGACAGACTAAGTAGGATTCTGCCATTTAGAATAATTCTGGTATCCTGGGCGTTGCGTTAAGTTGCTTAACTTTCATTCTGTCTTACGATAGTCTTCAGAGGTGGGAACAGATGAAGAAACCATGCCCCAGAGAAGGTTAAGTGACTTCCTCTTTATGGAGCCAGTGTTCCAACCTAGGTTTGCCTGATACCAGACCTGTGGCCCCACCTCCCATGCAGGTCTCTGTGGGGTCTTTGGGATGGATCTCCTAGGGCTGGGCTGGAAGCCTCATGTACTGTTGTCTTCTAGGTAACCACCCTGAAGAGAAGGGGTGGCATCAGGAACCGCAGGGAACCAAGCAGCCTTTGGTCCAGTGCTGCTCCTTGGAACAGTTGAGTGTGGCCTCAAACCATTCTCCTGGGTAGCTCAGTCATAAAACACCGAATGCCTGCCTCAAAATAGCCTCTGAGGGAAGGGAGCTGTTGACAAGTGAAGCCCTCAGGTTGTGTGGGATTCCAGCAGGTTATTACAGCTTGTGGGGGGAGGGAGGGTCCATTCCACCAGCTTTGAATCCCAGGGTCCCCTCAGCTTCACTGGGCCACAGTGTCTGTCCCAGGAAGAAGCAAATGGACAGTGAGGATGATGGAGAGACTACAGCTGCCTTGTCTAAAACCTGGGATCTTAAAAGTGTTATTTTGGCTTTTATTTTTTAAAAAAAGAAAAGGAAAATTGGCAATTGTATTAATCCATTCTCGAATTGCTGTAAAGAAATACCTGAGACTGGGTAATTTAATTTATAAAGAAAAGAGGTTTAATTGGCTCACAGTTCTGCAGGCTATACAGGAAGCATAGTAGCTTCTGCTTCTGGGGAGGCCTCAGGAAACTTACAATCATAGTGGAAAGGCAAAGGGGAAGCAGACACATCTTATGTGGCCAGAGTAGGAGCAAGGGGGCGCAGGAGGAGGTGCCACACACGTTTTAAACACCCAGATCTCACAAGAACACTCAAGAGGACAGTACCAAGTGGAATGCTGTTAAACCATTCATGAGAAATGCACCCCCATGATCCAGTCACCTCCCACTAGGCCCCACCTCCAAGATTGGGGATTACATTTCAATATGAGATTTGGGTGGGGACACACATCCAAACTATATCAGCAGTACTGGACATTTTTCATGAGAGAGAAGGGGCACAAGAGGATGTCTGGAGCTAGCCTCTAGAATGTTGGTGTGGAAAATCTCTCCAATGTTTGAAAAGCATACCAATTACCTAGTCCTCCATTCATTGTTCAAATGAAGAAACCCAAAAAGCAGAAGTAACTTCCCAAGGGTCACACAGTCAGTTAACAGGCAAAAGCCAGATGTCCTGGTTCTCAATCCTCGCCTGTCCCATTCTGCCACAGATACTGCAGCCAGAGGCCAGGCATGGTGGCTCACGCCTGTAATCCCAGCACTTTGGGAGGCCGAGGTGGGTGGTTCACCTGAGGTCAGAAGTTCGAGACCAGCCTGGCCAGCATGGCAAAACCCTGTCTCTAGTAAACATACAAAAATTAGCTGGGCATGGTGGCACAAGCCTGTAATCTCAGCTACTCAGGAGGCTGAGGCAGGAGAATCACTTGAACCCGGGAGGCAGAGTTTGCAGTGAGCCAAGATCACGCCACTGCACTCCAGCCTGGGCAACAGTGAGACTCAGTCTCAAAAAAGAAAAAAAAGCTTAAAAATAAAGATATAAACCGGGTGCGGTGGCTCACGCCTGTAATCCCAGCACTTTGGGAGGCTGAGGTGGGTGGATCACGAGGTCAGGAGATCGAGACCATCCTGGCTAACACGGTGAAACCCCGTCTCTACTAAAAGTACAAAAAATTAGCCGGGCATGGTGGCGGGGGCCTGTAGTCCCAGCTACTTGGGAGGCTGAGGCAGGAGAATGGTGTGAACCTGGGAGGCGGAGCTTGCAGTGAGCCGAGATCGGGCCACTGCACTCTAGCCTGGGCGACAGAGTGAGACTCCGTCTCAAAAAAAAAAAAAAAAAAAAAAAGATATAAAGAAAAAATGTTTTTGTATACTTGCAGTGTGTGTTTTAAGCTAAGTGTTATTACAAGAGTCAAATTTTACAGTTCAAAAGCTTATAAAGTTAAAACGTTACCATTAAGCTAAGATTAATTTATTATTGAAGAAGGAAAATTTTTCTTTTTAGAGACAGAGTCTTGATCTGTTGCTGTCACTGGGGTGCAGTGGCATGATCCTATCTCACTGTAGCCTTAAACTCCTGGGCTCAAGTGATCCTCCTGCCTCAGCCTCCCGAGTAGCTGGCACTACAGGCATGCACCACCGTGCCCAGCTAATTGTTTTTATTTCCTGCGGAGATGGGGTCTCACCACGTTGCCCAGACTGATCTCGAACTACTGGGCTCAAACAATGCTCCTGCCTTGGCCTTCCAAAATTTTAGGATTACAGGGGTGAGCCAGTGTACCCAGCCCATTTTTTATACTGTTTTTTTACTGTGCCTTTTCTAGGTTACATATGTTAGATACACAAATACCATTGCATTACAGTTGCCTACAGTATTCAGTACAGGAACATGCTGCACAGGTTTGTCGCCTAGGAGCAATAGGCTATACCATATAGCCAAGGTGTGTGATACACTATACCATCCAGGTTTGTGTAAGTACACTTTATGATTGCACAATGACAAAATCGTCTAACAACACATTTCGCAGAGCATATCCCCATTGTTAAGCATGGGAACTGTATAATGCCTTTATTATATATACATGACTATATAATAAGGGCTATATGATAAGCCAGAGTTACCATGGCACCACAAAATGTTTTTTAAAAAATCAGCCAAGTGGCAGGGTGCGGTGGCTCACGCCTGTAATCTCAGCACTTTGGGCGTGGTGGCACACGCCTGTAGTCCTAGCTACTTGGAAGGCTGAGGCAGGGGAATCGCTTGAACCCGGGAGGCAGAGGTTGCAGTGAGTGGTGGTCGCACCACTGCACTCCAGCCTGGTGACAAAGTAAGACTCCATCTCAAAAAAAAAAAAAAAAAAAATTAGCCAAGTGTGATGGTACATTCCTGTTAGTCCCAGCTACTCAGGAGGCTGAAGTGGGAGGATTGCATGAGTCCAGCAGTTCAAGGCTGCAGTTAGCTGTGATTGCACCACTATACTCCAGCCTAGACAATAGTGCAAGACCCGGTTGTGGGGCGGGGTTAATATATATATATATATATATACACACACACACACAACATAGAATTTACCATTTTAACCAGTTTTAAGTGTACAGTTCAGTGGCGTTAAGCACGTTCACAGTGTTGTGCAACCATCACCACCATCCATATCCAGAATTTTTCATCTTCTCAAACTAAAACTCCCCACCTATTAAATACTAACTCCCCATTCCTCCCTTACTCACTGGCAACCACCATTTTACTTTCTGTCTCTATGAGTTCCGTTATTCCAGGTACCTCATACAGTATTTGTCCTTTTTTTTTTTTTTTTTTGGAGACAGAGTCTTGCTCTATTGCCCAGGCTGGAGTGCAGTGGCACAATCTCAGCTCACTGCAACCTTCCCCTCCTAGGTTCAAGCAATTCTCCTGCCTCAGCCTCCCGAGTAGCTGGGACTACAGGCCCGTGCCACCACGCCCGGCTAATTTTTTGTATTTTTAGTAGAAGCGGGTTTTCACCAGGTTAGCCGGGATGGTCTCGATCTCCTGACCTCATGATCCACTGGCCTCAGCCTCCCAAAGTGCTGGGATTATACAGGCATGAGCCACCACACCCGGCCTTGTCCTTTTTTTTTTTCTTTTTTTTTGAGAGAGGTGCCACTCTGTCGCCCAGGCTGGAGTGCAGTGCCACAATCATGGCTCAGTTCAGCCTCAACCTCCTGGACTCGAGCGATTCTCCCACCTCAGCCTCCTGAGTAGCTGGGGCGACAGGCATACATCTGCACGCCCGGGCTAATTTGTGTGTGTGTGTATCTTTGGTAGAGGTGGGGTTTCTTTCTTCCTTCTCCTCCTTCTCCTTCCCCTTCTCTTTTTTTTTTTTTTTTTTTTTTGAGACAGAGTCTCACTCTTGTCGCCTAGGCTGGAGTGCCGTGGCATGATTTCGGCTCACTGCAACCTCCGCCTTTCAGGTTCAAGCAACTCTGCCTCAGCCTCCTGAGTAGCTGGGATTACAGGCGTGAGCCACAGCACCTGGCAAATTTTTATATTTTTAGTAGAGACGGGGTATCGCCATGTTGGCCATGCTGGTCTTGAACTCCTGACCTCGGGTGATCTGCCTGCCTCGGCCTCCCAGAGTGCTGGGTTTACAGGCGTGAGCCACCACGCTCGGCAAGATGGAGTTTCGCCATGTTGGCCAGGTTGGACTCGAACTCGAACTCAGTGGTTCCGAACAACTTGGCCTCCCAAAGCGCTGGGATTACAGGCATGAACCACCGCACCCCAGCCCAGCATTTGTCCCTTGGTGGACTGCTTTATTTCACTTAGCATAACGTCCTCAAGGTTCATCTATGTTGCAGCAGGTGTCAGAATTCCCTTCCTTTTAAAGGCTGAATAACATTGTGGTATACACCCCATTTTGTTTATCCGTTCATCTGTTGGTGTGTATTCAGGCTGTTTCTGCCTTCGGGCTGTTGTGAAGAATGCCGCTATCAACATGGGTGTGAGAATATCTGTTCAAGTCCCTGGCTATATTTAAATTCTTTTGGATATTTAGCCAGAAGTGGAATTACTGGATCATCTGGTAATTCTATTTTTGATTTTTTGAGGAACCACCAATACTATTTTTCACAGCAGCCGCAGCATTTTACACTCCCACCAGCAATGCACAAGGGTTCCATGAAATCACTAATTTTATAACATTTTTCCTGATTACATGTTCACTGTAGAACATTTAGAAAATGCAAGAAATAAAATTTAGAAAATTAAAATTCCCCTTATTCTACATACCGGGACATGACTTGAATTTTTATTATCCCCAACAAAGGGAAGAGAGCATTTTTTTGGGACGATTGCGTTGCTATAGTGCCGAGGCCTGCCCTGCCCGGACCTTATTCTCAAAGCCCCGCCGATCCCGCCGTCCCCGCGACCCCAAGCGTCAGCAAAGTTTATGCAGTTGAACTGGATTCTGAGTATATCTGTGGATAGTTCCTGGGAGAGTCGCAGATACGACACGGGGTTGTCACATTCTCTATGGGTCTGTTTCCTCATCTTTAAAAGCCATCTCTGCGTTGCTAAGGCAAAGCATAAAATGTTTGAGGAAAGCGACTTTTCTAGAAAGCACGTTCTACAAACACACCATCCACGTTCCAAACTGAGCTTCGGTGTTTTGACTGGAGGGCACCTGAGGACGTCAGTACGGTCCCGCAAAGACCAGCAACCAGATTGGCAAGCAGGGGGCAGGAGAATTTCCCGCCCCATCTCTTTAGTTGTCTATTGGTTGATTTTACCATCAGTCTCCCCTGTCCTCCTATCATCGCCGCTATATTTGTGTCTCGGTGCATACTCTCATTGGCCCTACCTGCAGTCGCTCTACGTAAGGGGCGTTCCAGAGTCAGCCACTGGGAGTCGCTGGATTCGGGTTTTAAAAAACGCCGGCCGTGAAGTGGGCGGAGCGAGCGATTTGAACGCGAGCGGCGCGGACTTCTGCCAAGCACCGGCTCATGTGAGGCTCGCGGCACAGCGTTCTCTGGGCTCCCCAGAAGCCAGCCTTTCGCTCCCGGACCCGGCAGCCCGAGCAGGAGCCGTGGGACCGGGCGCCAGCACCCTCTGCGGCGTGTCATGGGCCCGCGCCGCCGGAGCCGAAAGCCCGAGGCCCCGAGGAGGCGCAGCCCGAGCCCGACCCCGACCCCCGGCCCCTCCCGGCGGGGCCCCTCCTTAGGTAACCGGCCGCGGCCCCATCTCGAAGAGGAGAAAACCGAGGCTCGCAGGCGGAGCCCGGATCTCCCGAGTCCCGATCCCGTGGCACTTCCCTGTTGGGGGACAACGCGGTTCCGCCGTCCGGCATCCGCTCCGGGCACGGGCGGTGCCAGCCCTGCGAGGGGCTGGAGCAGGCGGTTCCGAAAGCGGGAAGGGACCGGCTTAGCCACTTGGCTCCTAACGCCGTCTTCTTGTTAGGACTAGTGGTTACCCAGCGCCCACCGCCCACCGCCAACCAGGCATTGCCTCCCACTGTTCGTGCGTTATCTCAGCTTCATATTGTGCCCATTTTACAGCTAATGAGAAAGCCGAGGCACAGGCCAGAGAGCTTGAGCAGAGTCACACAACTTGGTGTTCTGGCGGACACGGGATTTCCAATCCTCTGTGTTTGTGCATTTTTAAATTGCAAAAGTATTGACTGCTTTCGGTGACGATTTCAAACAGGAGTCCTCTTAGGAGGTGTCTTTCAGGGGTTTTTTTTCCCTTCCGGGAGAGGCTGTTAGGCCTTGAACCGAGGCCCTCTGCGCTGCTCACTCTGTTGCCTTCCAGAGCTTGTGTCCGGGAAAAGGGGCCGAAGTCTGTGTCTTAATTGTCTATGGTGGGCTGGTGGATGGGAGACCCAACGGCAGGAGGAGGCAGATGCCTGTATGGTACATGGTGGCAACAGCTGCTTTACTTATCTCTTAACTCTTGCTACGTAGCTATGAGGAAGATGGGAAGTGTATTGTAGTTTATTTGTTTCATTGCTTTTTGTAGAGACTGGGTCTCCCTGTGTTACCCAGGCTGGTCTCAAACTCCTGGCCTCAAGTGATCCTCCTGCCTGGGCCTCCCAAAGTGCTGGGATTGCAGGCATGAGCCACTGTGCCTACAGGCTTTTTTGGGTTTTTTGTTTTGTTTTGGAGACGGAGTCAGGCTTTGTCGCCCAGGCTGGAGTGCAGTGGCGCGATCTCCGCTCACGGCAAGCTCCGCCTCCTGGGTTCACGCCCTTCTCCTGCCTCAGCCTCCCGAGTAGCTGGGACTACAGGCGCCTACCACCACGCCCGGCTAATTTTTTGTATTTTTGGTAGAGACAGGGTTTCACCGTGTTAGCCAGGATGGTCTTGATCTCCTGACCTCGTGATCCGCCCACCTCGGTCTCCCAAAGTGCTGGGATTACAGGCGTGAGCCACCGCGCCCGGCCGGCTTTTTGGTTTTTTGTTGTTTTTTTTTTGAGACCCATCGCCCAGGTTGGAGTGCAGTGATGCCACGAGGGTTCACTGCAGCCTCAACTTCCCAGGCTCAGGTGCTTCTCCCAGCTCAGCCTCCCGAGTAGCTGGGACTACAGGCATATGCCACCATGCCGGCTAATTTTTTGTATTTTTAGTAGAGGTGGGATTTTGCCATGTTGCCTAGGCTGGAGTAGGTTGTTTCTAGATGTTGCTGTTGCGAATGGGATTTTTTTTCTTTCCCAAAACACGAGGATTTAACCTTTGCTTCCAGCCAACTTGCTGAATTCTCGTTCACCCTAGTCGTTTTTAGTTGCTCCAGTTGGAATTTTTAAGTAGACTATTATGTCATCTGCAAATAACTTTTGAATCTTCCGTTTTCATTTCTACACATTTTATTTATTATTGTATGGTACTAGTAAGGCCCTGAGACTCACTAAGAGTGGTGTTTTGGTCATCTTTGTCTTGTTTGTAATTTTAACAGGAATATTAAGTATGATGTTTGCTGTTGCTTTCCAAGGTAGAAGCATCCTTCTACTCCTGGTTAAATGGAAGGTTTATCTCAAATGGGCAGTCAACACTTCTTGGCAGTCCTACCACCTTTGTCTGGTATTCTTTCTTCAATTTTCGAGACAGAGTCTCACTCTTGTCATCCAGGCTGTAGTGCAGTGGTGCTATCTTGGTTCATTGCAGCCTTGACCTCCTGGGCTCATGCAGTCCTCCTGCTTCACCCTCCTGAATAGCTAGGATGACAGACCTGCACCACCATGCTTGACTATTTTTAAACCTTTTTTGTAGAGACAAATTGTTTTGTCTCTACAGAACAAAAAAAAAACAGCCATCGTGCCTGGCCTTTGTCTGGAATTCTTGCTTTTCCATTCTCCCCATGACTATTTCATACCTTTTTCTCCCTCCTCGACTTCCTACAGCTCCATTCCCCCCACTCACTCTTAGCCAATAATGGCCTTGACTAGGTGTCCCCCTTCCTATCAAAGCCCTTCCTTCTACATGGGGTCTTGGTCATATCCTTCTTTCACCTACAGAGGAGCTTTCTACCTGTGCTTAGATAAATCCAGACACTTCACACTGGCATCGGCACATATGCTCTAGTATTTATGATGTTTTGTTTTGTTTTGTTTTTGTTTTTGTTTTTGAGACGGAGTTTCCCTCTTGTTGCCCAGGCTGGAGAGCAACGGCGTGATCTCGGCTTACCGCAACCTCTACCTCCCGGGTTCAAGCGATTCTCCTGCCTCAGCCTCCCGAGTAGCTAGGATTACAGGCATGCACCACCGCATCCGGCTAATTTTGTGTTTTTAGTAGAGACGGGGTTTCACCATGTTGGTCAGGCTGGTCTCCAACTGCCAACCTCAAGTGATCCGCCCACCTTGGCCTCCCAGAGTGCTGGGATTACAGGCCTGAGCCGCTGCGCCTGGCCGTATTTACGATCTTAAGAGAAAGGGCAGGAGTGTTTCCTTGACCCCACATTCTCACTTCCCTATACCTCCCATTTCCCTCTACTTCCCTTCATAGCTGTCCTTTTAAAATAGCCAGACTTGTTAGGTCCACATACATTGCATCTGATTCCTCCCTTCCTAGTGACCCTACAACCCACTCCAATCTGACTCCCCACAACCACTACCCCCACTTCTAATCTGCTTGAACTACTCCTGTCAGGGTCACTAGCACCTTTTGTAGTGCCAAATCCAGTAGGTGGGTCTGTGTTCTTACTGTGTCTCAGAAGCATTTGACGCAGTGGGCCTCTTTCTCCTTGAAGCGTTCTGTTCCCTTGGCTTCCATGCCACTGTGCACTCTGGCAGTTCTGCTTGGTGTTCTCTACTGCCTGTGCTGCCTCCCTCGGCTCCTTGATGTTGGACTTCCTTGACATCCTTTTCCTTTCTACCCCCTCCCTAGGTGGTCTCATCTCCTCCGTGGCTCTAAATCCCACTCATACATTGACAGCTCTCAAATATCTGTATACCTGGATCTCTCCTCTGACCCCAGATACCTATATCTAACTGCCTTTCTACCTGAAGGCTCTTGGTTATGTTAAACTTAACACACCCAAAACTGAACTTCTGGTTACTCCCCTCCAGCCCCTTCATCCTCAGCTTCCCCATTTCAGTAAATGGCACAACTACCCACCCAGTTGTTCAAACCACAAGCCTGGGAGACCCCCGTCTCCAATACAAATGCAGGTCCAGATAATTCTACTTCCAAACTGCATCCTTAATCACTCCATTTTCACCATCTCTGCTCCCACTAGCCTAGTCCAAGCTACCAGCAGCTCTCGAGCAACTGTGAGAGCCTCCTAATCAGCTGCCACTCCACTTCCACTCTGTCCCTTTCTACTTCTTTCCTTACACAGCAGCTGGAATGACCTTCCACATCTCTATCCTGCATAAAACTCTTCCCTGGCTTCTTATTACAGTAGGATTAAATTCCATCTCCTCATGTTGGCATTTCAAGACCCAGCTACTAAATTTTTGATCCCAGTTCTTTTCCATGATCTCTCTAATTGGTTACTTTTCATAACCACTTGTTCTTGGGTCATGGATTTCATATCTCTGTTACCTCTCTGAGTTCATTAACCATTTTTCTCTCAAAGTTTCTATTTCTTTTCTCTATTAACTCAATTTCCTCTGGTATTGGCTATTTTGTTTGTTGAGTTTGGTTCCTTTCTTTCATGGTATTGGCCTTCTTAAATTGTTGGGTGATCTTTAGTTGTGTTCATCTTCAAATTTTCTGTGAATGCTATGTCTTGTTTATTTTTTTATTTTATTTTATTTATTTATATATTTTTGTTTGAGACACAGTCTCATTCTTGTTGCCCAGGCTAGAGTACAGTGGTGCGAGCTTGGCTCACTGCAACCTCCATCTCCTGGGTTCAAGCAATTCTCCTGCCTCAGCCTCCCAAGTAGCTGGGATTACAGGTGCCTGCCACCATGCCCGGCTAATTTTTGTATTTTTAGTAGAGATGGGTTTCTCCATGTTCATCAGGCTGGTCTCGAACTCCTGACCTCAGGTGATTGACCCACCTTGGCCTCCCAAAGTGCTGGGATTACAGGCGTGAGCCACCGCACCCAGCCCTATGTCTGTTTATTAAAGACTGCCTCCAGTGACTGGATTGCCAACTGGTGGTGGGGAGGGAGGGAGGTGTCAGTAGTTTTTCTCCTGGGCATGGGTCTTCCCAGTTTTAAATGTTATCAGTCTTCTGGACACTGCCCTGTTTCATTGGCCTGTGTTCTCTAGCCTCACCCAGGGATGGTCTCCTCTGCTGGCTGCCTGGCACAGGCCATCTCTGGATTGTCTCACCTACCCTACTTGCTCTTGCAGCTCTTCTAACACTTCGTGATTAGTTTATTGTATTAAATGCCTTCTATCGAACTTGGTGTAGAGTCTCTTTGCTTGGCTGGATCCTGAATAACATTTCTGAAACAATTTTATCCGTCAACATGTTATTTTTGTATTTTGTTTGTTCAACTTATCAGATGTTCACTCATCTTGATCCTTGGTTGTAATTATGGAGCAACTGTGCTGTTTTTTCTTTAACTTTATTTTCACTAACTTATTTTCTAATATTTCTTTTGTTCTATCTTGTTTTGGTTTACTTTAATAACTCTGTAATACTTAATTTGACTGCTTGGCTCAGATACCTTTTAGTGTTCTTGTTTTCTAATAGGAACACTTTAAGGCTATGCATTTTCCTCTAGTACTATTTTGGCTGTATCTCATAAGTTTTGGGATATGGGCTTTTTATTGTTATTCATTTCCAAATAGTCTAATTTCAATTAAGTTTCCTCTTCAACACAGGTTAGTTAGAAGAAACTGGTTTTTGATTCATGAGTTTTTAATTTCCAATTAGAGAATTTGGCTTTTTTGATTCCTACTTTTGGGAATGTTTTTAAAATTATTTTCTTTTTTGTTCTTGTTGGAACCAGGATTTGAGCCAAAGGCTCTGTCTCCACAGCCCAGGTGCCTGACACTGACACTGAGTTAGGCCACACCTTACACAGGTCTCAGCTTGGCCACTAATGAGGGCTGGCCAACCATCTTCACCTCGCTGGGCCTCAGGATGATCAAGACAAGGGAATTGTACTAGTCTCTCAGATTCTTTCCAGCTGTAAAAAACAAACCAACAAAAAATCTAAAACCAAAATAACTGAGCTTCCAATCTAGGTGGGAAAGATCTAAGACTTGTACAAAGTCCTGCAAAGCCCAGAGGAGGGCGGTCACCCATCTGTTTGGAAGGATCAGGATTCGGGAAAGACTTCATGGAAGAGTTAGCATTTAAAATCAACTGCAGAGGATCATTCACTCATTCATTTAACAAATGTTTATTTAGCACCTATCTGCTATTTTCTAATTGCTGAAGATAGCAGCAAAATTACTATATATCAGGTTGGTGCAAAAGTATTGTGGTTTTTGCCATAACTGCAATGACTTTTGCAGCAACCTAATAAAACAGACAAAAATCCCTGCTCTGTGGAGGGTAGGCACATAGATATAGTCTAGCAATTTGACAGCTTACCTGACTCAGCCAAGCTGCGAGGCACCACCTATTTTCCACTGAACTTACCTTTCTTTTGCTCAGGCGCTTCCTCCCATCAACACAGTCGGCGGAGACAAGGTTGGCTAAAGGAGATCCGAAAGCTTCAGAAGAGCACACACCTCTTGATAAGGAAGCTGCCCTTCAGCCGCCTGGTAAGCTCCGGGAGCTTCCCACCAACCCCTATGCCACCCTCCTTTTTTTAAATTTTCCCAGGTATTAGGGACCCTACTGTCTCTTAACTAACTGGCCAAGGGACCTCTTTTGTAACCTGGTAGGGGATTCTTTTCTGAAAACATGAGCCCTCCAAGAGCACCTTGTAATTCTTTATGGAATTGATTTCTAACCTCTACTACCTTTTTAAAACTGTAGTTTTTGACTGTATAAATAGGAACTCTCTCGTTTGTCCACCTTAGATCCCTTTTCCTATCCTGGGAGATTGCCTCTCATCACCCAATTACTGGTGATTTCCCCATCACCAGTAAGAGATCCGCCAGTTCCTAAGCTCCCAGGAGTCAACACCTGCTCCTAATTGGGTCCTAAGATTAAGAGCCAGGAAAAAATAATGGAAAGGAAGATTCACTGGAACTCATGGAGAGCATCATTGTCCCTTGAATCTCTCTTCTGTTACTCCCTACTCCTACTCCTCCCCTTCCCCACTCCTTCACAGGCAAGAGAAATATGTGTTAAATTCACTCGTGGTGTGGACTTCAATTGGCAAGCCCAGGCCCTATTGGCCCTACAAGAGGTAAGAAGGCACCAAGGCACAATTGGGTGAGGGCTGAGTGGGAGAAAGAGGCAGCCTAGAATTCTCCAGTGCTGACTGGAGTGTCACATGCTGAATCTGACCTCTGGAAAAGAACAATGAGGTAACCTCTGAGGGTTTGGAGGCTGGATTCTGCGTGGTGATAGCAGAATTCCCTGGCAAAGTTCAGTCTCATTCTGTGAATAGTTTCCTACAATCCTTTGAGCCCTCAGAGATTAAGTTTAGCAGGTTTCCAAAAAAAAGCAGCCCGTGGCCCTTCATCTGTGTCCGTCTTTTTCTCTTTCTGTCTCCAGGCAGCAGAAGCATTTCTAGTTCATCTCTTTGAGGACGCCTATCTCCTCACCTTACATGCAGGCCGAGTTACTCTCTTCCCAAAGGATGTGCAACTGGCCCGGAGGATCCGGGGCCTTGAGGAGGGACTCGGCTGAGCTCCTGCACCCAGTGTTTCTGTCAGTCTTTCCTGCTCAGCCAGGGGGTAAGCTCATCCTCTTTCACAGGACTGGGGCTGGAATTTCTCAAGTAATTTCCTTTCTCCATCCATAGTCCCTTGTCACCTCGCCTTCCCTTTGTTCTCTAGTAAAGGTTGATCTAGTTTTGACTGCCTGGGACAATGTGGTTTGTGCCCTTTTGTGCAATGTTAGATAAAAGATATCTTTCTATTAAATAATAACCAGATGACCCTAATTTCTTTTGGTTGTTATTGTTGTTGTTTTATTTTTATAAGACAGGGTCTCTGTCATCAGTGTTGCCATCGTGGCTCACTGCAACTCCTGCCTTGGCCTCCCAAAGTGTTGAGATTACAAGAATCAGATGACCTCATTTTGATTAAGAGAAAACTTTCTAATAAACTTTCTAATAAAAGAGAACACTTTCTAATAAAAACTTTCTCTTTTTTGATTAAGAGAAAGTTTTCTTACTTTTGAAAATGGCTTGTTAGTAAGTGTGCTTCCTTAATTTCAGGGATGATACCGGGGACTCTCCAGAGCCATGACTAGATCCAATGGATTCTGCGATGCTGTCTGGACTTTGCTGTCTCTGAACAGTATGTGTGTGTTGCTTTAAATATTTTTCTTTTTTTTGAGAAGGAGAAGACTGCATGACTTTCCTCTGTAACAGAGGTAATATATGAGACAATCAACACCGTTCCAAAGGCCTGAAAATAATTTTCAGATAAAGAGACTCCAAGGTTGACTTTAGTTTGTGAGTTACTCATGTGACTATTTGAGGATTTTGAAAACATCAGATTTGCTGTGGTATGGGAGAAAAGGCTATGTACTTATTATTTTAGCTCTTTCTGTAATATTTACATTTTTTACCATATGTACATTTGTACTTTTATTTTACACATAAGGGAAAAAATAAGACCACTTTGAGCAGTTGCCTGGAAGGCTGGGCATTTCCATCATATAGACCTCTGCCCTTCAGAGTAGCCTCACCATTAGTGGCAGCATCATGTAACTGAGTGGACTGTGCTTGTCAACGGATGTGTAGCTTTTCAGAAACTTAATTGGGGATGAATAGAAAACCTGTAAGCTTTGATGTTCTGGTTACTTCTAGTAAATTCCTGTCAAAATCAATTCAGAAATTCTAACTTGGAGAATTTAACATTTTACTCTTGTAAATCATAGAAGATGTATCATAACAGTTCAGAATTTTAAAGTACATTTTCGATGCTTTTATGGGTATTTTTGTAGTTTCTTTGTAGAGAGATAATAAAAATCAAAATATTTAATGAAAATGGACTTACTGTTACAGCATAGAGATTATACTGTACTTTTTGTGTGTTAAAAATAAGTTCTTTATTTGTTTGCAAACAGCCACAATTTTTTTTTCTTTTTTTTTTTTTTGAGATGGAGTCTTTTTTTTTATTGATCATTCTTGGGTGTTTCTCGCAGAGGGGGATTTGGCAGGGTCATAGGACAATAGTGGAGGGAAGGTCAGCAGATAAACAAGTGAACAAAGGTCTCTGGTTTTCCGAGGCAGAGGACCCTGCGGCCTTCCGCAGTGTTTGTGTCCCTGGGTACTTGAGATTAGGGAGTGGTGATGACTCTTAATGAGCATGCTGCCTTCAAGCATCTGTTTAACAAAGCACATCTTGCACCGCCCTTAATCCATTTAACCCTGAGTGGACACAGCACATGTTTCAGAGAGCACAGGGTTGGGGGTAAGGTCACAGATCAACAGGATCCCAAGGCAGAAGAATTTTTCTTAGTACAGAACAAAATGAAAAGTTTCCCATGTCTACTTCTTTCTACACAGACACGGCAACCATCCGATTTCTCAATCTTTCCCCCACCTTTCCCCCCTTTCTATTCCACAAAACCGCCATTGTCATCATGGCCCGTTCTCAGTGAGCTGTTGGGTACACCTCCCAGATGGGGTGGTGGCTGGGCAGAGGGGCTCCTCACTTCCCAGAAGGGGTGGCCGGGCAGGGGCGCCCCTCACCTCCCGGACGGGGCGGCTGGCCGGGCGGGGGGCTGACCCCTCCTCCTCCCTCCCGGAGGGGGCGGCTGGCCGGGCAGAGGGGCTCCTCACTTCCCAGTAGGGGCGGCCGGGCAGAGGCACCCCTCACCTCCCGGACGGGGCGAACAGCCACAATTTAAACAAGATAATTAAGGGAGGTGGTTTTGCCTCTGGTGGAGTAGAGTATGACTAGATGAAAACCTTGCCCTTCTGTTGTAACTGAAAGCAATTTAAAAGATTTCCAGAGACATGGGAAGTGTCACCCAAAGATATGAGATCTGTATGTGATGAAAATGATTAGTGAGGGCAGACTACTAATAATGATGTGTCAGTCAACTGAGTTCAGAGACAGATTAAAGAGATGCACCAAGTTCTATTGTTTAATAATTTTTTTTTTCCCGAGACTCTGTCTGTCGCCCAGGCTGGAGTGCAGTAGTGCCATCTCAGCTCACTGCAAGCTCCGCCTCCTGGGTTCAAATGATTCTCCTGTCTCAGCCTCCCTAGTAGCTGGGATTACAGGCATCCACCATCATGCCTGGCTAATTTTTGTATTTTTGTAGAGACAGGGTTTCACCATGTTGGCCAGGCTGGTCTTGAACTCCTGACCTCAAGTGATCTGTGGGCCTCAGCCTCCCAAAGTGTTGGGATTACAGGCGTGAGCCACTGTGCCTGGCTGGGTTTTTGTTTTATGTATTTTTTTATTATTATTTTTTTAATTTTTAATTTAATTTTATTTTTTGTAGGGGCAAGGCTTTGCCGTGTTGCCTAAGCTGGTTTCGAACTCCTGAACTCAAGCAATCTGCTTGACTCAGTCTCCCAGAGTGCTGGGATTACAGGTGTGAGCCACCAGGCCTGGCCATATTTATTTTTGAGAGAAAGGGGGGTCTCGCTCTGTCACCCAGGCTGGAATGCAGTGGAGCAATCATAGCTCGTTGCAGCCTCAAACTCCTGGGCTCAAGCAATCCTCCCACCTCGCCCTCCCAAGTATCTTGAACTATAGATGCTCGCCACCACGCCCCTGTTTTATTTTTTTATTTTGTTTTTCCCTACTTTCAGGGTGATTTCATCAACATTCTTTTCTAACCTTTCAATTGAATTTTTTATTTCTGATTTCATGTTTTTAATATCCAATTAACTCCTTATTTTGGTAATGTTTCTTTTTTATAGTATTCCAATCAGTCAGCATTCACTTAAAAAAAAAAAACAGAAATAACTCCAGATATTTTAAGCAAAAAGGGATTTGGTGGAAGGGGTTGACTATAGTAATGTCAGGAAGGCTGGTTGAGCCAAAGAGAAGAGGATGCTGCCCAAAGATCAGGAAGCTCCCAGTGCCCACCCCCACTGCTGCTCTGCTGGAAGCATAGCCCTGCCACCATTGCATTGAACTGTACCACTGCCGCTGAGCAAAGTCAGGATCCCCAACTCTGACCATTGTATCATGCCCGGCTGGCTCTGCAATGTCATTTTGATGTGTCTTCAGTATGGATTTTTTTTTTTTTTTTTCTGAGTCAGAGTCTCGCTCTGTCACCGAGGCTGGAGTGCAGTGGTGCGATCTCCAACTTTTTCAGTTTTCTTTGATAGGAGAGTGGTCCCAATGACCTTTTCTACCATTACTGGAAGTTGAAGTTTGATGTGTCTCTTGATATTCCCATACTCATCATTACTTATTGCCATTAAAATAAAACAAAAATAACTTAAATGTATTCAACATCAAACATAACACATGCTGTCATATATAACAATCAAGACTCTCATTTGCAAGTTTGGGGACCCCAACTCAAACTGACTTAAGAGGAGAAGGTTCATATAACTGAAAAGCCCAGAGACATTTCTGGTTTCGCTACAGTCAAATCGAAGGGCTGTAACAAAGTCATGAGATTTGGTCTCTCTCTTCACCCTTTGCTGCTTCTGTTAGTGTCACTTTCAGGCAGGCCTTCAGAACCTGTAAATTTGGCATGTCACATGGCAAAGGGGAATTAAGAGTGCTAATCAGCTGACATTAAAATAGGGAGATTTAGAAGAAAAAAAGGACAAAGCAAAAAATGGGGAGAGTACCTTGGAATTTTGGGTGGGCCCAATGTAATCACAAGTGCCATTAAAAATGGAAGAGTGAGAGAGAAGTGTGTTAGAGATAGGAGTAGGAGAATGGTCAGGCAGATGCAACATTGCTGGCATTGAAGATGGAGGGAGAGATCACAGACTGACGAGTCTAGGTGGCTTCTAGCAGCGAAGAGGCAAGGAAGCGGATTTTCTTTTAGAAACTCCAGAGAAGAAAACAGGCCTGCCGATACCTTGATTTTTAGCCCAGCGAAACTTGTGTCAGACTTCTAAACTACAGAACTGTAAGAATAAATTTGTGTTTTATCTAAGCCACTGAGTTGTTGCTAATTTGTTACAGCAGCAATAGGAAACTAATACAAGTGGTTTCCCAAGGAAATTTGAGGCTTCTTAACAGGTAAGAGAGAATGTAGACAGGGCAGACAAAAATAACAGATGTCTACTATACCACATGTGGTGTTATGATAGACATTGGTTTTCGTCCACAGTTCCGGGCTCATAACTGCTATAGCCGTTGTTAGTTCTTTTGTTGTAATATTGGGTATGTGTTAGGCCTCAGGAAACAGAATCTCTCCTTCTCCTGCCCTCCTTTCACCTGCCCCAAGACAGGCCTCTAATCTTTCTCAGGCTTTCAGATTGTGGGTCTTAAGATCCTACCCAGAGAGGTTCCCTCTATACCCTGGGGGAAAGAATGCGGAGGTCCTGAAGCTTCCATAAAAACCCTTGAGGACGGTTCAGGGAGGTTCCCGATACCTGAACTCGGGGAGGTTCCTGGAGGGTGGCGCCCCCCACACCCCCCACCCCCCACGGAGGGCTTAGAAGCTCTGTGTGCATTCCCCATACCTCACCCCACGTGTCTCTTCATCTGTTTCCTTTTTTTATGTTTTTCATGCATTTTTTTTATTTTTTATTTTTCATTTTTTTTTTTTTTAGACAGAGTCTCACTCTGTCACCCAGGCTGGAGTGCAGTGGCGCGATCTTGGCTCACTGCAACCTCCGCCTCCCAGGTTCAAGCAATTCTCCTGCCTCAGCCTCCCAAGTAGCTGGGATTATAGGCGTGGGCCACTACACCCGGCTAATTTTTGTATTTTTAGTAGAGGCGGGGTTTCGCCATGTTGGCCAGGCTGGTCTTGAACTCCTGACCTCAGGTAATCCGCCTCAGCCTCCCAAAGTGCTGGGATTACAGGTGTGAGCCACCGCGCCCAGCCATCTGTATCCTTTGTAATATTTTTTGTAACAAACTGGTAAATGTGTTTCCCTGAGCTCTGTGAGCCACTCCACCAAATTAATCAAAGAGGGGGTCATGGGAACCCCAACTTGAAGCCAGTCCTAGAGGCCCAGACTTGTGACCGGTTTTGGTGGGTGGGCAGTCTTGGGGACTGAACCCTCAACGTGTGGGATCTGATGCCATCTCTGGGTAGACAGTGTCAGAAATGAATTAGAGGACACCCAGCTGGTGTCCACTGCTTGGTGTATGGGGAAATCACCTCCAACGTTTGGTCACAGAAATCTTCTGCATGGATGATTGTTGTGCTGTGAGAGTGAGGAAAAACATGGTTAGAGTTCTCCCTACATACCATATGACGCACTGTGTCACAATTACAAATTTTTAAAAGCCAGATGGCACCTACTTTTTTTTTTTTTTTTTGCCATTACTTTCAATGGCAACAACCGCAATTACTTTTGCACCAACCTAGTAATATACTTTGAGCAGCATTAGAGTTTTATTCTATTTTATATTCTTTGGATTTATTTTAATGCTGTTTACAGGAACTGAAAAGCTCCATTCTTTTTAAAAGATTTTCTAATTAAAGTATAACATACATACCAAAAACACAAATGTATACAGATTACAATTTTACAGCTCAATTAGTTTTCACAAACTGAAATCAATGCATCTCAGAATCCTGCCCCGTTCTAGTCAATACTTACTCTGCCAAGGATAATTGTTATCCTGTTGTTTTTTTATATAGACGGAGCTTTGCTCTTGTCGCCCAGGCTGGGTGGGGTGTGTGGCCCAGGCTGGGGTGCAGTGGCGCAATCTCGGCTCACTGCAACCTCTGCCTCCCGGGTTCAAGTGATTCTCCTGCCTCAGCCTCCTGAGTAGCCGAGATTACAGGCACCCACCACCACGTCTGGCTAATTTTTGTATTTTTAGTAGAGACGGGGTTTCACCATGTTGGCCAGGCTGGTCTCAAACTCCTGACCTCAGGTAATCTACCTGGTTCGGCCTCCCAAAGAGCTGGGATTACAGGCGTGAGCCACCACGCCCGGCCTATCCTGACTTTTAATACCATAGATTCATTTTGATTATTGTAGTAAGTGGAATTATAGAGCATATATTCTTTTGTGTTTTTCAGTCAACATGTTTGTGAAATTTATATTTTCTCATGTGTTTATGGTGTTAATTCTTACTGCTGCATAGGGTTTCATTGTGTGGATATGCCTAAATTTTTTTTTTTTTTTTTTAGTGAAAGCAAGTTTATTAAGAAAGTGAAAGAATAAAGCATAGCTACTCTGTAGGCAGAGCGGCCTATGCCTAAATTTGTATATTTCCATTCTATTGAACATTTGGATAGTTTCAAGTTTGGGGGTTACAAATATTGGCTACTGACTTTTGCCTCAAAAACAAAAAAAAAAGAGACTTGGAGATGCATTTTTTTGGGGGGTTTGTTTGTTTGAGACAGGATCTTACTCTGTCACCCACGCTAGAGGGCATTGGTGTGATCACAGTTCACTGCATCCTCGACCTCCCCAGGCTCAGGTGATCTTCCCACCTCAGCTTCCCGAGTAGCTGGGAATATAGGAGCACACCACCACACCTGGCTAATTTTTTTTTTTTTTTTTTTTTTTAGACAGAGTCTCACTCTGTCACCAGGCTGGAGTGCAGTGGCGCGATCTTGGCTCACTGCAACCTCCGCCTCTTAGGTTCAAGCAATTCTCATGCCTTAGCCTCCCAAATAGCTGGGATTACAGGCACACGCCACCACACCCAGCTAATTTTTGTATTTTTAGTAGAGACGGGATTTCACCATGTTGGCCAGAATGGTCTTGATCTCCTGACCTCATGATCTGCCCGCCTCGACCTCCCAAAGTGCTGGGATTACAGGCGTGAGCCACTGTGCCTAGCCATTTTTGTATTTATTTTAGTGGAGATGGGTTTTCTCCATGTTGCTCAGACTGGTCTCAAACTCCTGGGCTCAAGTGATCCACTCTCCTCAGCCTCCCACAGTGCTGGGATTTCAGGTGTGAGCCATTGCACCCAGCCTGAGAGGCAGTTCTTTGTAAAGTTTTTATAAATGTTCTGAATGTGTGAAGGAAATTAATTTCCAATGCACAAATATATATATATATTTGTGTATATATTTAAATATATATATTTAAAAATTCCGACTGAGCACCTGTAATCCTAGCACTTTGGAAGGCTGAGGCAGGAGGATTGCTTGAGGCCAGGATTTTGTGACAAGACCAGCCTGGGCAGCAGTAAGCCCCTGTCTCTGTTTGTTGTTGTTGTTGTTGTTGTTGTTTTGAGACAGAGTCTCACTCTCTCACCCAGGCTGGAGTGCAGCAGCACGATCTCGGCTCACTGCAACCTCCAACTCCCAAGTTCAAGCGATTCTCCTGCCTCAGCCTCTCGGACCCTGTCTCTATTTTTTTTTAAATAAAGAAATAAAAATTCTGTGTAACTTCATAAATCTGTGTTTTGTGCACTTTTCTGAGAGGAGCCATGATTTCCATGAGATCCTCAAGTCCACCCTCCATAGATGGTTATGAACGCCCCTTCTAAAATTCTATGAGTTATTCTGCCTCCAACCTCACATTAATATTCTCAGTAAGTATATTGCATATTTTTGCAGATTTTTAAGAAATGTGTAACAAAGTCATTTGACACATATTTTTTGAATATTTGCCTCAATTGCCTCAATTTTCCATCCTGCAGGACATCCCTCCGCTTGAGTAACAGAGTAATAATAATGCCTTACACTGATACAGGTTTTCAGTGTATAATGCTCTTTCAGCACTGATTTGATGCTCTCAACTGCAGACAACACATCACTTATACAAGACAGATTTAGAGCTCCCAAGACATTGAGTGGATTGAAAAACCAAATTCATCTTGAAGGAGCAGCCGAAGCATTTGAATTGAGAATTTCTCCCCTCCCTGGCACTGGGCCAATATTGCTACACCATGCGACAGCAGAAGGGTAGAAGTAGATTCCTAATTGTTTCTAGGATCGATTTAAGTTCCCTGCTTTTCTGCAACCTCTTATTACAAACCTCCAAATCCACGGCCTTACATGCTGTTTAGAGAAGCCTATTTGTCTGCTGTATTTACCAGCAGCCTGCCTGACTCACTTCTATTTGGCCTGGCCCACCAAATCCAGGGGGCCCCAAATCATCCTTGTTTCTCCCCAAAAATACTCATCCTCTCCCAAGCCCCAACCAGCACCCTTCAGACACCACTGGGACTCAGCACATCTTCGGCTGCTTCACTTTACTGATCACTTTTTAAAAAGGCATTGCTCATCCGTTCCTGAGAGCCCTGAAATCCTCGGCTGGGCTGGAGCCCTTGGTGTCTCCTGCCCTGTGTTCTGGCGTAGGCCGTGGGGAGAGCCTGCTTGAGTTGTGCACATTCACAGGAACTCTACAGGGCTGTGGTCCTGGGGGACAAGGCTGTTTCCCTCCATGCTCATGGCAGTGGAGTTTTCTGGAGAGAGGAGTGGAGGAGGACAGCTGAGTCTCGTCCAGCAGTGGGCTAAGAGGCAGTGATAAGCTCCAAGTGGGGAAAGGAAAGGGCTATGGCAACTTCCGGGATGACACTAGGTCTAAGGTACTGGGTCTGAAAGTGCTTCATGGACCTTTTTTTTTTTTTTTTTTTGAGATGAAGTCTTGCCCTGTCGCCCAGGCTGGAGTTCAGTGGCGCAATCTCACTCACTGCAACCTCCACCTCCCAGGTTCAAGCAATTCTCCTGCCTCAGCCTCCCGAGTAGCTGGGACTACAGGTGCCCGCCACCATGCCCAGCTAATTTTTGTATTTTTAGTAGAGACTGGGTTTCACCATGTTGGCCAGGCTGGTCTTGAACCCCTGACCTCAAGTGATCCGACAGCCTCAGTCTCCCAAAGTGCTGGGATTACAGGTGTGAACCACCGTGCCCGGACTACGGACCATTATTTTGTGTGTTAAGGTTACAATGGCCCAAGTAAGGTTTTGGTTTTTGTAGAGTCTTTTATGATAGTTTTTGTTATCAGGCATTTATGCATAAGAACCCTCTCTTCATGGTCTTCTGGCTTTGTTTATTTGTTTTGTTTTTTGAGACGGAGTCTTGCTCTGTTGCAGGCTAGAATGCAGTGGTGTGATCTCGGCTCACTGCAACTTCTGCCTCCCAGGTTCAAGTGATTCTCCTGCCTCAGCCTCCCTAGTAGCTGGGACTACAGGCACATGCCACCATGCCCGGCTAATTTTTGTATTTTTAGTAGAGATGGGGTTTCACCATGTTGGCCAGGCTGGTCTCGAACTCCTGACCTGAGGTGATCCACCCACCTCGGC
Organism: Homo sapiens; assembly: GCF_000001405.40. Lineage (NCBI taxonomy): Eukaryota > Metazoa > Chordata > Mammalia > Primates > Hominidae > Homo > Homo sapiens. Next base: position 26,802,921 of record NC_000002.12, read on the forward strand.
CTCCCAAAGTGCTGGGATTACAGGCGCGAGCCACCGCACCCTTCCTGTCATCCTTCAGCAATCCCTGTTGGCCATACTTGATGTTCAGCTTGAACTCATCATAGAATTTCAGGGTCAAAACATGTCTTTTTTTTTTTTTTTTTTTTGAGATGGAGTTTTGCTCTTGTTGCCCAGGCTGGAGTGCAATGGCGTGATCTCTGCTCACCAGAACCTCCGCCTCCCAGGTTCAAGTGATTCTCCTGCCTCAGCCTCCCGAGTAGCTGGGATTACAGGCATGTGCCACCACGCCTGGCTAATTTTGTATTTTTAGTAGAGATGGGATTTCTCCATGTTGGTCAGGCTGGTCTCAAACTCCTGACCTCACGTGGTGCGCCTGCCTCAGCTTCCCAAAGTGCTGGGATTACAAGCATGAGCCACCACGCCCAGCCTCAGAACATATCTTAAAAGTCATTTTACTGCCAGGTGCGGTGGCTCACGCCTTTAATCCTAGCACTTTGGGAGGCCAAGGCAGGCAGATTACCTGAGGTCAGGAGTTTGAGACCGGCCTGGCCAACATGGTGAAACCCTGTCTCTACTAAAAAAAAAAAAAAAATACAAAAATTAGCCGGGCGTGGTGGCACATGCCTGTAATCCCAGCTACTCAGGAGGCTGAGGCAGGAGAATTGCTTGAGCCCGGGAGGCAGGGGTTGCAGTGAGCCGAGATCGTGCCACTGCACTCCAGCCTGGCCGACAGAGCAAGACCCTGTCTCAAAAAAAATAAATAAATAAAAAGTCATTTTACTTGAATGTCTTCTGTAACAGTCAACCTTTATTTGAATACCTTCAGTGATAAAAAAAAAAAAAAAACCTCACCAGTCACTCAAGTAATTACGTTTCAGAAAGTTTTAAGTATTTATTTTATATATATAGGGAGATATATACATATATATTATACATAGGGAGATATATATATATTAGGTATATATATTTAAGATACACACTCACATATATATCTCAACTTTGCTTTCCCTTGTCTTAACCTCATTAATTATGCCTTTGGTACACCAGAGAATAATTTATCTTATTTATTTATTTTTGAGACAGGATCTCACTCTGTTACCCAGGATGGAGTGCAGTGGCACAATCTTGGCTCACTGCAACGCTGACCTCCCAGCTCAAACAGTCCTCCTGCCTCAGCCCCCGAGTAGCTGGGACCATAGGTGCACGCCACTGCACCCAGCTCATTTTTCTATTTTTTGTAGAGACAGGGTTTCACCATGTTGCCCAGGCTGGTCTTGAACTCTTGGGCTCAAACAATCCACCTGCCTTGGCCTACTAAAGTGCAGGGATTACAGGCGTGAGCCACTGCACCCAGCCACCAGAGAATTTAATTTATCTTCCATGTAACTGAAGAGAGTCATCAGGTCCCCACTGTCTTCCCTGTGTCAATCTAAAAAAACAGAGAGAGGCTGTCTCTAAAGTAAAATATTTATTCAGCAATAGAGCATTGCAATGGGAATACACGTGCCACAGTAAACTGCATATTCAGGAAGGGAAGAAAGACAAAAGTTTTTAAAGGAAAAATGAGGATTACATATTGTTTTGAGATAACTATCCTTGGCTACAAGGATCAATAACAAGGGTGGCAGCAGTCTGAGGTTGAACAGGCAGTTGCTGAGCAGATGTCCTTGAAGAATTTTTGTGTGTGTTAAGGTTACAGTGGCCCAAGTAAGGTTTTGGTTTTTGTAGCATCTTTTATGATAGTTTTTGTTATCAGGCATTTATGCATAAGAACCCTCTCTTCATGGCCTTCTGGCTTTGTTTGTTTATTCGTGTTTATTTTGTTTTGTTTTTTGAGATGGAGTCTCACTCTGCCCAGGCTAGAGTACAGTGGCACAATCTCAGCTCACTGCAAGCTCCACCTCCAGGGTTCACACCATTCTCCTGCCTCAGCCTCCACAGTAGCTGGGACTACAGGCACCTGCCACCACGCCCAGCTAATTTTTGTATTTTTAGTAGAGATGGGGTTTCACCATGTTGGCCAGGCTGGTCTCGAACTCCTGACCTCAGGTGATCCACCCGCCTTGGCCTCCCAAAGTGCTGGGATTACAGGCATGAGCCACCAAGCCCAGCCTGTTTGTTTTTTAACACAGTGACTCCATTTTGATTCTGGCAACTTTCACACCTTCCACAGGTGAATCATTCCTACTTCCATATTGGAGTTGGGGGCTCACTCTGTTGCCCAGGCCGGAATGCAGTGGTGCAATCATGGCTCACTGCAGCCTGGAACCCCTGGGCTCAAGGAATTTGATCATGCAGCCTCAACCTCCTGAGTAGCTAGTACTACAGGCACATGCCACAATGCCCGGCTAATTTCTTCTTCGGGTTTTGCTACGTTGCCCAGACTGGTCTCAAACTCCTGGCCTCAGGCAATCCTCCAGCCTCAGACTCCTGAGTCACTGGGCTTACAGGCCCCACTTTCTTCAACTGTTCTCGTTATTATGTGGTTCAGGGCCTCTCACCCCATGACACAGTTTGACTCATCACTGCCCTTCTTAAAGTAGGTAGTGTGGGAAAAATACGTGGAAAGGAATGTAGGATTTATAGTCAAAGTCTTATTCCTAAGTCTGGATATTCATCTTTGTATTAGTCCATTCTCACACTGCTAATAAAGACATACCTGAGACTGGGTGATTTATAAAGGAAAGACTCACAGCTGACTGTGACTGACTCACAGCTCATCATGGCTAGGGAGGCCTCAGGAAACTTACAATCATGGCAGAAGGGGAAGCAAACACGTCCTTCACATGGCAGTAGCAAGGATAAGTGCTGAGCAAAAGGAGGAAAAGCCCCTTATAAAACCACCAGATCTCATGAGAACTCACTGATTATCATGAGAACAGCAGCATGGGGGTAACGGTTCCCATGATTCAATTACCTCCCACTGGGTCCCTCCCATGACACGTGGTGGGGATTATGGGAACTACAATTCAAGATGAGATTTGGGTGGGGACACAGCCAAATCATATCAATCTTCAAAATAAGGAATACTGCCCCACTTTGCAGAGTCAATTTGGGAATTAAGGTAATATACCTTAAGGTAAGTGCTTGAGAACTAAAAAGAGATGCATGTATACTTTTACCGGAAGCTGGAGAAGGTGGGGCTTCCACTTGAAATGGTGTTGGCACCTAATGGTGATCCTCTCACACCCAATTTTGGTTTCTGCTACTAAAGTAGGAAGTTTTACTTTCAGAATTGGATGACGGCCACTCACAATGTTTGGTAGTTTATGATTTCCTGGCATTTGTTGTTTGGGAAAAGAGATCTGGGTGTTCCACCTGAACCGCCCCAGAGGCAGTGCTGCTCCTCCAGCTGGTGAGAGCTCTGGGTGGCTGCAACCCACAGTCCCTGTCCACCTGTCTTCCCCCAGGGACAGGCACATCTGGCACCAGTGGGTGCCACCCTAGGATGGGTGCCTAGAGTGGTTTCCTAGGGTTCACTGTAAGAAGGATCCAGGCTGAGAGCGCCCAAAGAGAAGGCAGAAGGGGACCAGAGGCTATGGGACAGGCAGTGGAGATCAACCACAGGGGCTCGGAGGGCCACACCCAGGTCCCCACAGCCTCTCCTTTCCTCCTGGCACAAGGGTTGCCCTCTCTGTCTCTCCATTCAAGACTTGCCCCACCTCCCAAATCACCTTCCTGGAGCCTTGAACTGAATAGCATCTTCACCTTCCTCTGTCAAGCACTGCATGCTTGGTGCATGCCAAGCTTGGCACTGGGAAGGAGCAGGACAGATCAATTGCCTCAAAACACATGGTCCTTGATGGCACAGGATACAAGGCAGCCAGCAAAAGGGATTGTTATAATCATGGCAACACCACCAATACCTGTGTGTCCATGGACGAAGAACTCTGCAAAATGCAAACCATCATTGGGTAGGAAGTGTGATCACAAGGGAACTTCTTTCTTCTTTACAATTTATTGAACATTTATATACATTTTTACCTGTTACATAAACAGTATGACTTAGTTAATATTTTCTTTTTTTAACTTAAAATAGATAGAGACAGGGTGTCCCGATTTTGCTCAGGCTGGCCTTGAACTCTTGAATTCAAGCGATCCTTCTGCCTTGGCCTCCCAAAGTGCTGGGATTGCAGGTGTGAGTCACTGCACGCAGCCTATTTTCTTTAAAAAAAAAAAAAATTTTTTTTTTTAATGCTGAAGAAGCAGTTAAGAAGAAAGTAAAAAAAAAAAATAAGAAAAATAAACTTATAAAAAAAATTTTTTTAAGAGAGGATTTCACTCTGTTGCCCAGGCTGGAGGGCAATAGCATGATCTTTGCAGGTGTGCACCACCGTGCCTGTCTAATCACCAAAAAAAAAAAAAAAAAATTGTGGGCCAGGCACAGTAGCTTATGTCTGTAATCCCAGCACTTTGAGAGGCCAAGATGAGTGGATCGCTTGAGTTCAGGTGTTCTAGACCAGCCTGTGCAACATGGTGAGACCCTGTCTCTACAAAAACTTAGTTGGGTGTGGTAGTGCATTTCTGTAGTCCCAGCTACTTGGGGGGCTGAGGTGGGACAATTGTTTGAGCCCAGGAGGTCGACCCTGCCGTGGGCTGAGATCGTGCCACTGTACTCCAGCCTGGGTGACCAAGTGAGACCCTGTCTGAAACAAAAACAAAACAAAACAAAACAAAATTTTGGAGACAGAGTCTCACTATGTTGCCCAGGCTGGCATTTAATATTTTCATAATAAAACTTGAAAAGATCACAAGTATGTGACTATGTTCATCCATAAAAATGTAAGTGCACTATTAATACTAAATGAAAAGGAATAAAAAAAAGGGCAGAACAGGAAGCTGTGCAGCCAACCTGACAGCCAGGAGAGCATGCTTTTTGATAAACATCAAAGAGCCATGGAAGCAGCAGGAATTTTCCAAGATTTTTATACTTCTTTCTACATAAAGTAGAATAGATACATCATAGTGATTCAAAGTTGAAAATCAAGGATCTAGCAAATCCTTCTGAGGTAACATCCCCTTGCCTTCTGTGCTGCCTTCCAGGAGGCAAGCACATGGGAATTGCTGAGCCAGTCCAAAACAATCCTCCCCTTCTGTTTCCATGGCAATGAGGCCAGCCAGGGGCAGCAGCAGAAGATGCCAGGAGAGAACAGAGAATATTCTGGGTCAAAGTCTTTGTTGAAGCTAAGGTGGTGCATTTGGAGACCCCATTTCTCCATCCTGCAGAAGGTAAGGGGAAAGTACCCCCCTTCCCATTTCTGGCTGCACAGGGAATGCCCCAGGGGTAGGGCTCTTCCGGGTACCAGACACAGTCTAGAAAAGCAGGAAGCCTGGTTCTAAGTCTGATGTCAGTCTAACTGCCAAACCTACCTGCACTTTTATTTCCAGGGTTAAACTCAAAGGGCAGGGCTTACTTAGATAGCACTATTGTTCCAGGGAGGCCTGAAATCTCTGGTGGACATGAATATTCTACAGGAAGGGACCCATGGCTCCCACCTGCATCTTTCTGTTGTGGATTGGAAAATGTTTGTTCGATGTGTATGGAAGGAGGTGACAGATTGTAGGCCCTTGAGCGTTTCCTTTATTCATTTTTAAATTATTTATTTGTTTGTTTATTTTTTTTGAGACAGAGTCTCACTCTGTCACCTAGGCTGGAGTGCAGTGGCACCATCTTGGCTCACTACAACCTCTGCCTCCGGGGTTCAAGCAGTTCTCCTGCCTCAGCCTCCTAAACAGATGGGATTACAGGTGCACGCCACCACGCCTGGCTAATTTTTTTTCTTTTTTTTTTTTCTTTTTCAGTAGAGATGGGGCTTCACCATGCTGGCCAGGCTGGTCTCAAAATCCTGGCCTCAAGTGATCCTCTTGCCTCAGCCTCCCAAAGTGCTGGGATTACAGGCATGAGCCACCGTGCCCAGCTCGTTTTTAAAATTAATTATTTTTTATAAGAGACAGCATCTCACTATGTTGCCCAGGCTGGTCTCCAGCTCTTGGGCTCAAGTGATCCTCCTGCCTTTGCCTCCCAAAGTGCTGTGATTAGAGGTGTGAACCATCACGCCGGCCTACTTAAACCTTTTTAAGACTCAAAATTTACATTTTTTAAGCCCCTCTTCTTTATTTTCAGTTGGGATCTCACTCTGTCTCCCAGGCTGGAGTGCTGTGGCACAATCATGGCTCACTGCAGCCTTGAGCAATCCTCCCACCTTAAGGGATCCTCCCACCTCAGCCTCCTCAGTAGCTGGGACTACAGGCACACACCACCATGCCTGGATAATTTTTTAAAACTTTTTTATTAATAGAGATGGGGTTTTGCCATATTTCCCAGGATGGTCTCGAAATCCTGGTCTCAAGCCACCCTCTTACCTCTGCCTCCCAAAGCGCTGCAATTATGGGCATGAGCCATCATGCCCAGCCTTGTTCCCCTGTTCTTCAGGGCAACACATCCCAAGGATGTGACTCCTGTGTGGCTGTGACCTGTGTGCAGTTGGTGCAGTGGGGTGGTAGTGAGGGCAGAGGCACTGAGCAAGGTGAAGAGGAGGGGAGGCCCAGCATCACTGGGGGAATCCAGAATGTGTCACCCCAGGATATGTCTCTTTGACATAACTACTTTTGAGCTAAAGGCAATTAAGAAGCAGCAAATGGGCCGGGTGTGGTGGCTTACACCTGTAATCCCAGCACTTTGTGAGGCTGAGACAGGTGGATCACTTGAGGTCAGGAGTTCGAGACCAGCCTGGCCAACATGGTGAAACCCCATCTCTACTAAAAATACAAAAATTAGCTGGGTGTGGTGGCACACACCCGTAATCCCAGCTACTCAGGAGGCTGAGACAGAAGAATCACTTGAACCCAGGAGGAGGAGGTTACAGTGAGCCAAGATCGCGCCATTGCAATCCAGCCTGGGCGACAGAGCGAGACTTTGTCTCAAAAAAATTAAATTAAATTAAATTAAATTTTTAAAAAAGAAGCAGGAAATGGAGAAAGAGCTCTTTCTGTCCTCCCCACTTTTCCACCTGAAGACAGGATACAAATTCTTCTTTACCGGAGACAGCTCTTACCAGATTAGAGAGGGCACCAGAGGAAGCTGCCAACAAATCTTGCCCCATTAGTGTACTTTCATATATTTACCTTCCCACAGTTTCCTGCCCTCGGAAGCCTAGAACTGCTTTGCTTTGTCTTGTCACATCTCCAAAGTATATTGTTCTTTTTGAAGATGGTTTATAGGGCAGAGTTCTAAGCCACTGCTTTGAGTTACCTTTCATCAAGGTTTCTCCCACGAGATGTGCAGTGCACATGTTAATACACTTGCTTGTTTTTTCTTTGTTAATCTGTCTTCTGTTAAAGGGCTGTCTCCCAACCATGAACTTGTGAGGGTTGAGGAGAAGTGCTGTTTTCTCCCTGACAGCTGAATGTGTGCCTGCCCTCTGACTAGGGGGAAATGGAAAGGGGATGTGGCTAATCCTATTCTCATAAGTTCTTCACATTCGCTGTCGCATGATAAGGGTGTCCCAGAGCAGAAGACACAATGGGGAGTCGCAGAGCCCAGCATGGAAAGGAAAGACAAAACCACATCACTGTGTTGCTGATACACCAGACAGGACCAGAAAGGAGGCATTGAATGGTCAGTCTCCAAGCCATAGGATTTCCAGAAGAAGGTGGGAGAGGAGACGCTGGGCTGCAGAAATCACTGAGCCAACCAGACAGAGCATGGGGGGCGAGCACGTTCAGGGGCCCAGAACCTGGGCTCACCAAAGGGTCTGACTGAGAATCTTACTCTACTCACGCAGGGCTCTTCTTCTTCAGTCCCCCACACCTCTACCTCCCCTCTGCACTGGGCTTCTTGCATCTTTTAAGGACATTTCTACTTGTTTACAAATGTGGCCACATCCTCCCACCTGGGAAACATATATATGTATGAAAAGAAACCCAGAAGGCTCATATATATATGCATGAGCTTTCTAGGTTTCTTTTCTTTTCTGTTTATTTTGAGGCAGGGTCTCACTCTGTTGTCCAGGCTGGAGTGCAGTGGTGCAATCTCAGCTCACTGCAGCCTTCACCACCCAGGCTCAGGTGATCCTCCCACCTCAGCCTCCTGAGGAGCTGGGACGACAGGTGCGTGCCACCATGCCCACCTTCTATGTTTCAACACTCACCTATTGCTCATGACACTCCTCTGAAGTGAGTAGGATCCCCAGCTTCCATAGGAGGTAATAACAGTGGAAAGAACACAGGCCTGGCATGGGACAGCCCCAGGTCTGAACCCCAACTCTGACACAGTAGCTCAGTGACCCGGACAAGGCGCTCGTTCCCTCTAAGCCTCAGTTACCTGGTCTGGAAGATGGAGATGAGAGACCTCCTCACTGGGGTATTGTGAGCATCGACCTTACCAATGTGGGGAAAGTGCCAGCACTCAGTAAGTGGTGGCAACAAGGATTATTCCTGTTCCTCAGAGAGGCGGAGTAACCACAAGGCAGAACTGGGACTTGAGCACGGCCAGCAGACCCAAGTCACGGGAAAATTGCCAAGAATGGGCACCCTGGTACAAAGCAAGGAATGTGACGGCATAAGCAGGGGGCTGGCCCCCGAATCACCTTCACAGGGAGCCCGGGCCTATTTCAGGGTCCTCTGTGGGGACGGAAGCAGAAACAATACTCAGGCCAGTATAGGGGCCAGGACTTCATGGGGCTCAGGGGTTTTAGGCAATTCCAAAAGGTTGTCACCAGCTATTGAATAAAATTGGTCACCCTCGGTTCCAAAGCAGAAGGGCTAATGTGCCGTAACATATTGAATGGATTCAGTGTCTTTCTGCAAAGGAGATCAAAGCACTTCAAAATCATTTCCTGCACACTCTCCTGAGAAGCAGCCAGGGAGGAAAACCTGTTTCATCTACGAGATACGCTTGGTGTCAGTCACCATCTCTGAGATTGTAGAATTCTTTCTGTTTCCAAAAGGCTTTGGCATGCCGCCTCAGTGGCACCTTGGGAGGTAGACCGGTGGGACTGACCCATTTTACAGACAGGTAAGTGGGAGCCCAGGGAGCCTGGGAGCCTTTCCCAAGTGAGGACTTGCCCCTCGCAGATGGCCACAGCACACTGGCATATCCATGGCCCACTGTGAAACCCACACAGACCACAACAGGGCCAGGTCCTGGAAGACCAGGATGAGGTTGGCCTTTGAATCAACAGCTCACAACAGTGCCGCAAATGCCCCACTCTCTGAACTCCAGGAGCCGGTGCCTAAGTACAATGGAAGTGGCCTCCTGGGCCTCTGAAGCCTGAATGACAGGCAGATCCCCCAGCCACTCTAAGTCTCACACTGGGGAGGCATCCTCCCTGCATTGCTGAGTCTGCTATTTTCTCCTTCCCGTGGCACCCCCATACTCCTCCTGTGCCCTCAATCCCTCCCCCTCCATTCACCCCGGGCTCTTGTTCAGTCCCCCACACCTCTATCTCCCTTCTGCTCTGGGCTTCTTGCATCTTTTAAGGACATTTCTCCTTGTCTACAAATGTGGCCATGTCCTCCCACCTGGGAAAAACCTTCCCCAGACCCTGTCATCCATCAGCTTAGTCACTGCCCACTGCCCCTCCCACCCCCTCCTCTCCTGACACGCTTCCCCTGGATTGATCTACGTGATCACTTCTAGTTTTTTCCTACACGCTACTGAGTCCTCCAAGCAGACTTTCACCCTAACCCTTTACTGCCGTTGCTCACCAATCACCATTCCCATTCTCCTAAATAATAACTGCTGCATACTGAGGAGTCTACAGCCGCAGGTGCTATGCCATCCACCTTAAAATGACCTTGTGAGATGGGTACTGTTAAGCCAGGTTACAGACAAGGCAATGGAGGCTCACAGTAAGCATCTGGGTTCAAGTTCCCAACAGTCCAAGTCTAAAGCCAGGGCTTCTCCTCCTGGCCTCAGCCTTCACTATGTGCCTGGCATAGGTAGACCTCAGCCCTCCCCTTCCTCCAGCACCCACCTTCTGCCTCCACCCATGCATGTCCCGAGCTTCTTCCTTCATCGCTCTCGCCTCACTCCTCCACTCTCCCCTGGCTTCAGCCAAGACTCTCTGAGATGGTCCCCAAGCCCACCCCTCTGGCTCCAATCCCTGTCCCAGATTTGAGGTTTATGTTTCTAAATCCAGGAGGTCTCAGCTCCTTGGCTGCTCAACTTCCTGGGCTCTTCCAATACCATGTTGCTATTTTATTTTTATTTTTATTTTTTGAGTCGATGTCTCACTCTGTAGCCTAGGCTGGAGTGCCGTGGCGCAATCTTGGCTCACTGCAACCTCTGCCTCCCAGGTTCAAGTGATTCTCCTGCCTCAGCCTCCAGAGTAGCTGGGACTACAGGTGCATGCCAAAATGACCAGCTAATTTTTGTATTTTTAGTAGAGACGGGGTTTCAACATGTTGACCAGGCTGGTCTTGAACTCCTGACCTCAGGTGATCCATAAGCCTCAGCCTCCCAAAGTGCTGGGATTAGGCGCCCGGCCCCAATACAATGTTTCTAAACTCAGACCCTTCGTCTTCTCCTCAAACCAGTCTCCATCTTGCAGCTTTTCCAAGAAGCTTCTTCCTTGACTTCTGACAAGGATGCTGGAATTCTCAGGCATCTTGGGCTTTTCTACAAGCCTGGTCCTCCCACAAAAGCATCATTCTTCCTATTTCTCTCAAAACAGTGGCTTCCTTCCTCACCTCCTCTCCTCACAACTGATCTACTGTCGTAGAACTTGCAAGGCCCCGGGGTGACCTCCAGCTCTGAATCCTCACATCTCCTGTACAAGTCCTGGAACTGACCTTCTTGGAGGTGGGCCAAAGGAACCCATTCCTCAGTGCTGGCCTCCCAACATAACCCCAGCTCCCCAACTTGGGCGCCACACCCACCAAATCCCTCTACGGAAACAGCCATCTGCCCTGGACTGGCCTCCAGCTAGTCTGTGAATTCGCTTCTCCTGAGCCACTGGCTTCACCATCCATGGCCGGCCAGGGATTCTGAAGTCTGATAGCTTCAGCTCAAAGGGAGAGCTGGAACTCACTCACTCACTCACCTCCTCCGCAAACATCTATTGGGTTAATCGGAGGGTTTACCGTGGGATTCTGTAGGCGCCTGTAGAAACAGAATTCCAGGCCGGGCGCGGTGGCTCACGTCTGTAATCCCAGCATTTTGGGAGGCCGAGGTGGGCGGATCACGAGGTCAGGAGATCGAGACCATACTGGCTAACGCGGTGAAACCCCGTCTCTACTAAAAACACAAAAAATTAGCCGGGCGCGGTGGCGGGCACCTGTAAACCCACCTACTCGGGAGGCTGACGCAGGAGAACGGCTGGAACCCGGGAGGCGGAGCTTGCAGTGAGTGGAGATCAGGCCACTGTGAGAGGTGACAGCGTGCTGGCAGTCCTCGCAGCCCTGGCTCGCTCTCCGCGCCTCCTCTGCTTGGGCTCCCACTTTGGTGGCACTTGAGGGGCTCTTCAGCCCACCGCTGCACTGTGGGAGCCCCTTTCTGGGCTGGCCAAGGCCGGAGCTGGCTCCCTCAGCTTGCGGGGAGGTGTGGAGGGAGAGGCGCGGGCGGGAACCGGGGCTGCGCGCGGTGCTGCGGGCCAGAGCGAGTTCCGGGTAGGCGTGGGCTCGGTGGGCCCAGCATTCAGAGTGGCCGGCCGGCCCTGCCGGCGCCGGGCTGTGAGGGGCTTAGCACCTGGGCCAGCAGCTGCTGTGTTCAATTTGTCACCGGGCCTTAGCTGCCTTCCCGCGGGGCAGGGCTCGGGACCTGCAGCCCGCCATGCCTGAGCCTCCCCCCGCCCATCGACCACCCAGGGGCTGACGAGTGAGGGCGCACGGCCCGGGACTGGCAGGCAGCTCCACCTGCAGCCCTGGTGCGGGATCCACTGGGTGAAGCCAGCTGGGCTCCTGAGTCTGGCGGGGACTTGGAGAACCTTTATGTCTAGCTAAGGGATTGTAAATACACCAATCGGCACTCTGTATCTACCTCAAGGTTTGTAAACACACCAATCAGCACCCTGTGTCTAGCTCAGGGTTTGTGAATGCACCAATCGACACTCTGTATCTAGCTACTCTGGTGGGGACTTGGAGAACTTTTGTGTCTAGCTCAGGGATTGTAAACGCACCAATCAGCACCCTGTCAAAACGGACCAATCAGCTCTCTGTAAAACCGACCAGTCGGCTCTCTGTAAAATGGACCAATCAGCAGGATGTGGGTGGGGCCAGATAAGGGAATAAAAGCAGGCTGCGGGAGGTAGCAGTGGTAACGCGGTGGGGTTGATCTTCCATGGTGTGAAGACTTCGTTCTTTCGCTCTTTGCAATGACTCTTGGTGCTACTCACTCTGGGTTCACGCTGCCTTTATGAGTTGTGAGACTCACCGCGAAGGTCTGTAGCTTCACAGCTGAAGCCATCGAGACCACGAACCCACCAGGAGGAACGAACAACTCCAGAAGCACCGCCTTAAAAGCTGTAACACCCACCGCGAAGATCTGCAGGTTCACTCCTGAGCTGCCGAGACCACGAACCCACCGGAAGAAAGAAACTTCGAACACATCCGAACATGAGAAATAACAAACTCCAGATACGCGTCTTTTAAGAACTGTAGCAATCACCGTGAGGGTCCGCGGCTTCATTCTTGAAGTGAGACCAAGAACCCACCAATTCCGGACGCAACTGCCCTCCAGCCTGGGCGACAGAGCGAGACTCCGTCTCAAAAAAAAAAAAAAAAAAAAAAAAAAAAAACAGAAACAATCCCACCCAGCTTTAGCAAGTCGGAGGAGGTGAGGCCCACTTTTCTACTTTCCTGATTGGAAGGAGAAGGAAGTGCACAGGCAGAGCGGGAGGCGGGGGGGCCGCCGGGTGGGGGGCGCCGGGGCGGGGGCGCCTGCCAGGCCCAAGGGCAGTGAGGGAGCAGCTGGACTGAGTAGAGAATTGCGGCGGGGTGGGGGGAGTTTTTTTTGTTTGTTGTTTCTTTACGTGTGTGCGTGTTTCAGAAGTGAAGACCAGAATTAGAGTGGTTATCTAAAGACAGATTTGAATCTGGGGTTTAGAAGAAAACAGCGGTGTTACAAATGAAAACAAAATGGGTCCTGTCTGAGAAGCCCCAGGAGAGAACACCTATATTATTAAAGGAAGCATGGACACTAGTGAGCCTTATATTTCTATTCTTTTTTTTTTTTCTCTGAGACAGAGTGTCGGTCTGTCGCCCAGGCTGGAGTGCAGTGGCGCGATCTCAGCTCACTGCAACCTCCGCCTCCCAGGTTCAAGCAATTCTCCTGCCTCCGCCTCCCAAGTATCTGCGATTACAGGCGCACGCCACCATGCCCGCCTAATTTTTGTATTTTTAGTAGAAACAGGGTTTCACCATGTTGGCCAGGCTGGTCTGAAACTCCTGACCTCAGATGATCTGCCCTCCTTGGCCTCCCAAACTGCTCTATTCTATTCTCTCTCCTGTCTCTCTCTTTTTTTTTTTTTTTTTTTGAGGCAGGGTCTCACTCTGTCATCCAGGTTGGAGTGCAGCAGCCCCATCATAGCTGACTGCAGCCTTGAACTCCTGGGCTCAAGCGATCTTCCCACCTCAGCCTCCCAAGTAGCTGGGAGGACAGCCACCGCTCCTGGCCTGAGTCTTCTATTGTCTTTCCTTTTCCTTTTGGTCTGGGGGGTTCCTCACCTTTTTCCTTTATCTAGATTAGTGGCGCATTTATACTCGAGTAAATGACTGTACTTTTTAAACTGCTATAATATTTTGAGGGGCAGGTTAGAGGAGTCATAAGCCTTAGTCCTAAAGAGCTTGTGTTACTTCAAGCATCAGTCACATAGGGGAGGGGACAGAGGATGGTCTCAAGTGTTCTGAAATCACTCTAATGTACGTAGAGGGGCCAACCAGAAGAGGGAAGCTATAGTGTCTAAAGAGTTCCTGAGCCTCTGATAAGGGGAGAGCATGTGACAACAGTGAAAATCCATTTAATGCCAAGGGGGTGGGGGGATTTAGAATTACTTGCCTGAGAAGCAACATCATCTCAGGTGGCAGCCAAGCCTTCATACTGGAAGCAGAGAAGAACCGCCTCCTCCCTAGTGATGCAGGGCTAGGGGCAGGATGGGCTGGCCTCTCTCCTAGGCACAGGCTGAGCCCTGCAGCCCCTCCCATGGGAGGAGCTGGCTATTTCCCTCCACCCTAGTGCTTTCAGGAACTCAGCCAGGCCCAGGCTCCCTCCCCTTCTCACCTTCCAGCTCTGCCGTAGGTCTGAGCTTCTGCCACAGTGGCCTCATTTCCCTTCTCATGCCCAACAGGTGCCCCAGGGCTCTGACCCACAGGTCACTTTATACAGAATCGTGCATTGCAAATTGTTTTTTCTATGTCCAGGAGATTCAAGAGTCATCTCAAATATGATTTGAACGGGAGTTTCTTTGAATTCATTATTGGTAACTGGCTAATCAATAAAATTCCCCCTGGACATGAAGAAGACAAGACAGGATTCGCCCCTGGTCAGAGTTTTACAGAGGGTTTTTTTTTCCTTTTTTTCCCCCCCCCCCCCCCCCGAGATGGAGTCTCGCTCTGTTGCCAGGCTGGAGTGCAGTGACGCGATCTCGGCTTACTGCATCCTCCACCTCCCGTGTTCAAGCAATTCTTGTTCCTCAGCCTCCCAAGTAGCTGGGATTACAGGCACACGCCACCACGCCCAGCTAATTTTTTGTTTTGTATTTTCAGTAGAGACGGGGTTTCACTATGTTGGCCAGGCTGGTTTCGATCATCTGACCTCGTGATCTGCCTGCCTCAGTCTCCCAAAGTGCTGGGATTACAGGCATGAGCCACCGCGCCCGGCCTTACGGAGGTTTTCTTCATGACTTGTTTCCTTTTCTTCATTTCATGCTCCAGTTTCATTATTTTAGTGAATTTGAGCTGAGAGTAGCTCCAAACCACATAATGAAGAATATTCTACTTCAATTACAGTTACCCATTGTTCTGTGGGGTCTGGGGTGCATGGATAAAGATATTAACCTGGCTTCATAATGATGGCAAGAGGGGAAAGGGACGTAGATTTCAACTGGTCTGGGTTCATGTGTGTACACACACACGCACACGAGCACATAAGCCTTATTAAGATGCACTGTGGAATAATACAAAGGTACAGGGAGAACAGGCGTATTTACAGGCTGTAAGTGGGAATGTAATGTAACATTTTCTATACCAAAACCCTTAAAAATATGAGTACCCAACAATTCTGTCATCAGATTTCCCTTAAGGAAATTAGACAAGGATACTAAGATGGATATTCAAAAATGTTTGTTCCAGATTGTTTATAATAGCAAAAAAATGCAAACAACTTGAAAGTCCGGAAATAATCTGAGTTCTTAATTGGAAGCAACAGAAATCATTGCTAAGGTAGACAGGAAAGGGTTTTATTAAAAGGACAGGATATGGCTTTAGGTGGTGTAGCCAGGAAGAGCGGGTGCCTGAAAGCCTGGGCAGGACTGGGGCAGTGGACTCACTTCTACAGTGTGCACCTCCAATCCTACAGGCGCCAAACACTGCGTATCACCACCAGCCCCACGGCCACCAGCTGCTCAGGGATGTGCCATCTTGCTGAAGCCTCTGCCTCTGCCAGACTGGGTTCCTCCAGGGCCTCTGCTTTTGCACCCCCAGCTCCTAGTTCCAAGCCTGGTGTGGGTGCATGTGATGGGCAGGGACTGGATCCCATGCCTGTAAGCTAGTGACAAGAGAGTCAGGAAAACTGACGTGGGGCTTTCAGCAACTACAGTGGGAGGCTTCCACTAGAAGGGAATTGGGATGCTGAGAAGCTAAAGAGACTGACAAATGTGCACTAGATTAAGAAATAGAAAAATAAATTACGATACCTGAATACAAGTGAGATATTGTAAGGGAGCAGAATCTAAATCTACAAACTTGGTTTTTCTATCGATACATGATTTTTATTCCAAGTGCTCAGCTGGAGTGGGAGTAGTTATGGCAAATTAATCTCAGGGAGTTGTGATTCTTCTGTGGGGTGTATCTAAATTTTGGGGTCTTACACAGTGCAACAGCAAGGACCCTCTGCTGTAAATTGGCTTATTGTGATGAGACAGTCTATCGTCCCACCCTGACAGCTGGGCTTGGGCTGGGGAAAGGCACAGGGCACCCTTGCTTTAGTATCCACATGAGCTGTGCTGCTGCACGCTCCTCCCTCCTGCTCTTGCTCTCCTCCACCCACACCTGGAAGCCTTTATCTAGTGCCAAGCATGAGGACTTGCTCAGACTCATATTCTGCCAAATCTATTGATTATGCCTGAGTTCTTTCTGCTCTCCCCAGGGGCGCAGCTAGACCATGCCCAGCCATATTCATCTCTTTTATGGGGCAGTGAATAGAGAATGCCCTGGTTGACTGACCTGGGAAAGAACCGAGAAATTGGAGCAGACTTTTCAAAATAATATTCCTTGGCTGGGCGTGGTGGCTCACGCTTGTAATTCCAGAACTTTGGGAGGCCAAGGCAGGTGGATCATGAGGTCAGGAGTTCGAGAACAGCATGTCCAACATAGTGAAACCCCGTCTCTACTAACAATACAAAAATTAGCTGGGTGTAGTGACTCGTGCCTGTAGTCCCAGCTACTCGGGGAGGCTGAGGCAGAAGAATCGCTTGAACCTGGGAGGCAGAGGTTGCAGTGAGCCGAGATCGCGCCACTGCACTCCAGACTGGTGACAGAGCGAGACTCCGTCTCAAAAAATATATGATGATGATAATATCCCTTGACTCTCTATACCTATTGCTAATTTTTTTCCAGAAAGGTAAAATCATGACTCATACTAATACAAAATGAACACATCTTAAAGACTTTATTTAACTCGTTAACTACTGAGAGAACCAGTAAGATATAAAAACTGTTTCCGCGGAGAATCCAAAAAAACAAACACGTATGTAGATGACCAGGAATGCGGAAATGAATTACTAAGAGATGGCCTCTTTCACTGAATGAAATGAATTGCATCTTTAATGGGAAATGTATTTACATGTTTATAAGCTGGAATAATTTGCAATCACAGACAATGAAAGGTGCAGACCATATAGAATCAGATAACCCGGTAAAGTCTAAGCCTTGCTTTCCACAGAAAAGATATGTATTCATTTTCTAGGTCTGAGAATCACAACACAGAATGGGTTGGTTGGTTAGTATTTTTTGTAGAGACAGGGTCTCAGTATGTTGCCTAGGCAGGTCTCAAACTCCGGGGCTCAAGACATCCTACCTCAGCCTCCTAAAGTGCTGGGATTATAGGCATGAGCCACCTCACCTGAACTGGGTGTTTAAAACAACAGAAATTTGTCTCAAAATTTTGGAGGCTAGAAGTGCAAAATCAAGGTGTTGGCAGGGCTTGGCTCGCTCTAGGCTCCAGGGAAGCCTCCTTCTTTGCCTCTTCTGGCTCCTGCTGGTTTCTGGCAATTCTTGGCTTCTCTGGCTTGTAGATGCATCACTGCAATCTCTGCCTCCATAGACACGTGGCATTCTCCCCATGTCCAGATTTCCCACTTACTAGGACATCGGTCATATTGGATAAAGGCTCATTCTAATGACCTCATCTTAACTTGATTAAATCTGCAAAGACCCTATTTCCAAATAAGGTCACATTCACAGTACTGAGGGTTAGGACTTCAATATATGTCACTTTGGGGAGTGACACAATTTAACCCATAAGAGTGTTAAAGAGGCTGGGCACGGTGGCTCACGCCTGTAATCCCAGCACTTTGGGAGACCAAGGCGGGCGGATCACGAGGTCAGGAGATTGAGACCATCCCGGCCAACATGGTGAAACCCTGTCTCTACTGAAAATACAAAAAAATTAGCTGGGTGTGGTGGTGTGTACCTGTAATCCCAGCTACTCGGGAGGCTGAGGGACAAGAATCACTTGAACCCAGGAGGCAGAGGTTGCAGTGAGCCGAGATCGCGCCACTGCACTCCAGCTGGGCAGCAGAGCTAGACTCTGTCCAAAAAAAAAAAAAAAAAAAAGTGTTAAAGAAAAACTGAAGACAAATTAAATTGAATAGCATTTAACCGAGCAAAGAATGATTCACTAATCATGAGTCCCCCCAAACAAGAATAGGTTCAGAGAGACTCCAGGGCTGCCATATTTATGGACCAAAAACAGAAAGTGATGTACAGAAAATGAAAGTGAGGCACGGAAACAGCTGATTGGTTACAGCTCAACGTTTGCCTTATTTGAGCATGGTTTGAATAGTTGGCCACCTGTGATTGGCTGAAACTCTGTGATTGGCACACGAGTAGGTTACAGTCTCTTTACACATCCAGTTTGGCTGGAGTTTACTATCTATGGAGAAACGCTTAGGCCGAACTTAAAATATGTAAGGAGGGAGCTTTAGGGTTAACTTAATGTAACAATAGATACCCAGTAATCTTTTTGTCCGGTAAAACATTTTCTACAATTTTCCTGACTTCCCTTGCCCTCTTTTTGATCATCATAATCTCCAAAACTTTTCTTGATGGCAATACACAAAACACCAGTCTCACTAGATATGTGCTAATTATTTACATGGGTGCAACAAGAATGTTAATCACATAAGCCTCTTTCTGTTTGCTTTGCAAATCCAGAGCCATATAGTATTAGCATCTAAGGCCAGAAAATTAACTTCTGTCTTTAGGTTTTCATTGGGAATCAAAGACTCAATTAATTAATTTGTTGATTTATTAGGTCTTGCTCTGTCTGCCGGGCTGTAGTGAAGTGGCATGATCACGGCTCACTGCAGTCCTAACCTCCCAGGCTCAAGCAATGCTCCCACCTCAGTCTCCCAAGTAGCTGGGACTACAGGCACTCACCTCCACACCTGGCTAATTTTTGTATATTTTGTTGAGACAGGGTCTCACTATGTTGCCTAAGCTGGTCTCAAACTCATAGGTTCAAACAATCCTCCTGCCTTGGCCACCCAAAGTGCTAGGATTATAGGCATGAGCCACCATACCTGGATGACCTTTTAAAAATCTATATTCTTATATTTCCCTGAAATTAGAAAGCCTCCCCAAAATGTTCTTCTGCGTTTCATCAATAGTACATGTAACTTTGAATGAATCCCTTTCTACTTAAGGTTCCAAAGTTTGTTAAGCCTCCTGGTCAGACCTTAGGTGACCTTCCATACCACCAATAAGGCTGAGACCCTACGTAAGGCATAAGGCAGGTAGTAGCTAGTTTTCCTGGGAGAGTTTTGTGAGCATTGCCTTCTTAAGTAAAGTCTCAAAGCTGTCTAAGGGGTCTCAGCTCAGTCTGTACTTAAGAGCATTCTTTGAAATAGCAATAGGAGCCGGGTGTGGTGGCTCATGCCTTCAATCCGAGCACTTTGGGGGGCCGAAGTGGGTGGGTCACTTGAGGTCAGGAGTTTGAGACCAGCCTGGTCAACATGGTGAAACCCTGTCTCTACTAAAAACTACAAAAGTTAGCGAGGTTTGGTGGTGAGTGCCTGTAGTCCCAGCTACTTGGGAGGCTGAGGTAGGAGAATGGCATGAACCCGGGAGGCGGCGCTTGCAGTGAGTCGAGATCACGACACTGCACTCCAGCCTGGGCAACAGAGTGAGACTCCATCTCAAAAAAAATAAAAATAAATGAAGTAGCAGTAGGTTAAAACACCTGGTACAGTTCTTTTCCACAGACTTTGAGTCTATCCTTTGTTAGAGACATGGACTCTGGCCTATAGCTTATAGCTGACCCTTCAGATAATCATCAAAACAAAAGAAAACCTATTGGTAAATGGCAGATTCTTAATGGCTATGGAGAACTTATTACTTTACCAATAAAGTCAAGATGGAGGAGAGTAGAGTTCTCTATTGAAATATAGTACATAACTGTTTCACAAGAGTTTTTATCAGTGTTTCTTCCCTGAGGATAAAAGCATTTATTTTTTCTGTTTATTTATTTTAGCTACAGGGCCTGCTTCTGTCACCCAGGCTGGAGTGCAGTGGCATGATCATGGATCACTGTAGCCTCAAGCTCCTGGGCTCAAGCCATCCTCAACCTCAGTCTCTTGAGTAGCTGGGATGACAGGTGCAAGCCACTGTACCCAGCTGATAAAAGCATATTATAGATAATGAGGACATTGAAACATTTCCAGAAACTTCCCCATAAAGAATACCAGTTTCTGAAATATTTATACATTTCCCATGCAACTCAGAATAGTAACACATCAAACTTATTTTTAGCACTTCCCTTTTTATAGGCAGAAAACCAGACAAATTTTGTGACTTTCCAGGGTGTCCTCTGGGAAATCTCAAAGATAGTTTTAGGTATAAAAGATATCTTTAGGCAGCCGGGCGTGGTGGCTCGTGCTTGTAATCCTAGCACTTTGGGAGGCCGAGGCGGGCGGATCACGAAGTCAGGAGATCGAGACCACCTTGCTAACACGGTGAAAACCCATCTCTACTAAAAATACAAAAAATTAGCCAGGCGTGGTGGCAGGCAGCTGTAGTCCCAGCTACTCAGGAGGCTGAGGCGGGAATGGCATGAACCCGGGAGGCGGAGCTTGCAATGAGCCAAGATCATGCCACTGCACTCCAGCCTGGGTGAAAGAGCGAGACCCTGTCTCAAAAAAAAGATACCTTTAGGCTAGGCATGGTGGCTCATGCCTGCAATCCTAGCACTTTGGGAGGCTGAGTGGGGAGGATCACTTGAGCCTGGGAGATTGAGGCTATAGTGAGCTGTGGTTGTACTACTGCACTCCAGCCTGGACAACAGAGCAAGACCATGTCTCAAAAAAAAAAAAAAAAAGGGGGGGCCAGGTGCAGTGGCTCATCGCCTGTAATCCCGACACTTTGGGAGGCTGAGGCAGGTGGATCACTTGAGGTCAGGAGTTTGAGACCAGCCTGGCCAACATGGTGAAACCCCATCTCTACTAAAAATGCAAAAAATTAGCTGGGTGTGGTGGCAGATGCCTGTAATCCCAGTTGCTTGGGAGGCTGAGGCAGGAGAATTGCTTGAACCCCGGAGGCAGAGGTTGCAGTAAGCCAAGATGACACCACTGTACTTCAGCCTGGGTGACAGAGTGAGACTCTGTCTCAAAAAAAAAAAAAAAAAGTGGGCACAGTGCCTCTTTCATGCCTGTAATCCCAGCACTTTGGGAGGCTGAGGCAGGCAGATTGCTCAAGCCCGGTAGTTTGAGACCAACCTGGAACACATAGCGAGGCCCCACGTCTACAAAATAAATGCAAAAATTAGCCAGGTGCGGTGATGCATGCCTGTAATCCCAGCTACTTAGGAGGCTGAGACGAGAGGATTACTTGAGCCCAGGAGGTCGAGGCTGCAGTGAGCCAAGATCACACCACCACTGCACTCCAGCCTGGGGGACAGAGAGAGACCCTGTCTCCAAAAAAAAAAAAAAAAAAAAAAAAAAAGATATCCTGAAAAATCCTTCCTCTTTTTTTTTTTTTTAAATTTAAATTTTGTGTCTAATTTCTGAAGGCAAAATATCAAGAGTTGTCAGAGGAGATTTGGGTACATGATTAAGATAGAATCATGAGTGACCAGGAAACGATACTTGGTTACCTCTTTAATCAAAATGCACAACAAAATATTTAAAAATAAATACAGAAGGCAACACAATTGTAAAAAAAAAAAAAAAATTGTAAAGAATTTTAGTGCTTTTGTGAGAAAACTTTGTTCTTTTTTTCTTATGTTTACATAATCAAGGACACAAGAAAGCCAAAATAGAGTGGGTGAAATTATAGAATCCCTTATATGCAGGCAGATTTCACAGAGATAAAGAATTACATTTTTTAGGCCAGGCATGGTGGCTCATGCCTGTAATCCTAGCACTTTGGAAGGTCAAGGCGGGTGGATTGTCTGAGCTCAGGAGTTCCAGACCAGCCTGGGCAACATGGCGAAACCCCATCTCTACTGAAAATACAAAAAAATTAGCTGGACTATTGGTGCACGCCTGTAATCCCAGCTACTCAGGAGGCTGAGGCAGTGGAATCACTTGAAACAGGGAGGCAGAGGTTGCAGTGAGCTGTGATCGCACCACTGCACTGCAGCCTGGGCGACAGAGTGAGACTCTGTCTCCAAAAGAAAAATAATTACCTTTTTTTTTATTGTATGTGAAGGCATTAATTAATA
The DNA here is from genome assembly GCF_000001405.40 of Homo sapiens. NCBI lineage: Eukaryota > Metazoa > Chordata > Mammalia > Primates > Hominidae > Homo > Homo sapiens. Next base: position 26,825,017 of record NC_000002.12, read on the forward strand.
CATCAAGTAAGCAAAACCAAGAAAACAAATGAATTTTGTCAAATTTTAAACATATTTCATATGCTGACATATATTCATATAACCTCTTTCAGACAAATAATCACTTATTTTCAGGCAAATAAAAATCACTTTCTGAATTTTGTCCTTTGTTATGGTCTTTTATATTCTGGAACAAACTGACACTTTAAGACACAAGTTCTCTGAGTGTGGTCTGGGGACCCCCAAGAAGTCTGCAAGACCCTTTCAGGGGGGTTTTCAGTTTTGAAGTCAAAACTATTTTCATAGTCACACTAAGACATGATTTCTCCCTTCTCATTTTCTCATGAGCATAGAATGAGGCTACATGACATATGAAATGGCAAGAGATTGAGGACAGAAGCAGCTATGGGAACCCAGCTGTCTTCTGTTCAGCTAGACATTAAGGAGATTTGCAAATAGACAATAATGCCGCTTTTCTCATTTTTTGGAAAATAGTTATTTTTCATAAAAATATGTTAACATCCAACGATTCCATCATTGCTTACTTCAGATGGATTTTTTTAAAAATTCTACTTTAGTTTTCTGTGTGGGGATGATGCTGGTGATTATGATTATGATTATTATAGAGACAGGATCTCACTATGTTGCCAAGGCTGGTCTTGAACTCCTTGGCTCAAGTGATATTCCTGCCTCGGCCTCCCAAAGTGCTGGGATTACAGGCATGAGCCATGGTGCCCAGCCTCTGTGGGGATTATTAACAGATATATAAGCAAAATCTTTTTGGTGTCCTCTAATTTTTTTTATGTGTGTAAACTCCTGAGACCAAAAAGTTTGGGAATTGCTGCTTTAGGAAAAACTACTCTTCCTTTTTTTAAAATTTTATTTATTTATTGGAGACGGAGTCTCGCTCTGTCACCCAGGCTGGGGTGCAGTGGGGTGATTTCAGCTCACTGCAACCTCCACCTCCAGGGTTCAAGCCATTCTCCTGCCTCAGCCTCCTGAATTGCTGGGATTATAGGCACGTACCACCATGCCCAGCTAATTTTTGTATTTTTAGTAGAGACAGGGTTTCACCACATTGGTCAGGCTCATTTCAAACTCCTGACCTCGTGATCTGCCCTCCTCGGCCTCCTGAAGTGCTGGGATTACAGGTGTGAGCCACCGCGCCAGGCCTCTTTTTCCTTTAAAAACAAAAGCACATCCACAGTTGTATTTCTCTTTTGCTACTGTTCCTAGAATAGTCTCAACCGTGCATAATAATTATAACTTTTAACCAAAGTAATGAACTTCTATTTCACGAGAAAAATTAAGGGCTAGATAATTAAGAAATGTCTGTTATACACAAGTATTTTTGCAGACAAACAAAATTCTGACAACATATAACACTGTTCTACATACTCTATATAGAACATATAGCCAGACACATCCCTTTTACACCTTAGTGTGGCAAAAATGAACACCTTCATTACAACACCCCAAAGATATAGCCTCTCTCTAACATACAAAATATATTAAACCTCCTGGGGGACAGAGAGAGACCCTATATAAAAAATCCTGAAAAATCTTTCTTTTTTTATTTATTTTTATTTTGTCTCTAATTGTGTGTGCCATCACGCCCAGCTAATTTTTTTGTATTTTTAGTAGAGATAGGGTTTCACCATGTTGGCCAGGCTGGTCTCGAACTCCTGACCTCAGGTGATCTGCCCACCTCAGTCTCCCAAAGTGCTGGGATTACAGACGTGAGCCACTGCGCCAGCCCAAAAAGGCATTTTAAGCAAAAATTCTGATACTTAAAAACTGAAAATATGAGCCTAGGAGTTCGAGGCTGCAATGAGCCAATACTGCACCTTTGTACTCCCACCTGGGTGACAGAGTGAGACCTTGTTGGTAAGAAAAAAAACAGAAAAATAGAAAAAGAGGGCTTTTGCTATGTTGATGAACTCAGAGTGCATGATTTATAAATACATAACCATCCATACATACTTTTGCAGTGATAACCACTGGAAAAATGAGAATGTTAAGCCAATCTAGACAGAGTCCTTCTCATTCCACCTGCCTCTTTATGTTGGTAATACCAGGAGTCTTAAGAGAGCTGCTGTGGTCTGTGTCACATTCATCCCAGCCTCCTTTCTAATCCTGTAGCTGATGATGAAAATGTGATAAATCTTGTGGCTTACCTTTGATGCTTTTTCATTAATTATCTTCTGGTAGTAAATTGTGGCAAGTCTTCCACTTCCATCCCATCAGCCATTCCCATCACCTTGTCTAAAAGGTCTTTATTGTAACTGCAGCCCAGGAAGAGGTGGTTGGCCCAGACCATGAAGAAGGGACAGCAGCTGGTCCAGGCGGCCACCGCTGTTGGGTGGGTTGCGGTAGTTGGGCAGGTGGCGCAGCATGAATTCCATGCGGGCCTTCCATTGCTTCTCGCTCTCTGAGTAGGAGCGGAACTGCTCCTCTAAGTCTGCCACCTGCCGCACCCCTGAGACCAGCTCCTCCACCGTGGTGGTCGCCTTGCCACCAACCATGGTGCCCGCTGCCCTAATTTTTGTATTTTTAGTAGAGATGGGGTTTCACCATGTTGCCCAGGCTGGTTTCGAACTCCTGACCTCAGGTGATCCACCCGCCTTGGCCTCCCAAAGTGCTAGGATTATAGGCGTGAACCACTGCGCCTGGCTGAAAGCCATTTTTAATATTTCATTTTTTGTGAAATTATGCTAAAAATTTTGGAGAGATATATCCCAAAATATTTACTGTGATTCTTTCTGGATAGTGAAATTGTGGATGCTTTTTTTTTTTAATTCTTTTTTCCACAGCAAATGTGTTCTACTCCTATAATAAAAAGAAATCAATAAAATGTAATTTTGAAAAGACAACATTTAAAGGCCGCTAACCTGAATTTTATTTACTGTGAGCAAATTTTGATATACTAGCAAGCCGAGTTCTCCCAGGCATCTATCTGCCTGAAATAATACCTGGGGTTGTTCATAAACCCAGGACTTTATGAGAACAACAAAGACTGAAGAGAATGATTAAACTCATATCATGAAATGAAAATGAAATGTTTCCAGCAGCCAGGCCCCAGATCTTCAGGAATGCTCAGCAAATATTACTTTCCTTTCTTCTCTCCCTTCCTTCCATTCAGCCTTTGACTAGGTCAAATGGCCTTTGAAGGTCAGTGTCCCATGTCACATGTCCTTGTGGCTTCTCTTGACCACCGTCCCTCATGGACAGTCTACAAGCTGTTCTGGGTCTAGAGTCTGACCTACGTGCCCACCTGAGCCTCTCCAAGTGATCATCACCAAGTTGAGTGTTCGTTTTATTCCCCAGGACCCCATCCTCCAAGCTAAAGGGATGATGGGCACACCTGAGGTCCTTGTAGGATTCTGGCCCCAGGAGCAATTCCTTCCTCATGCAGAATCTGCCCTCTGGGCAGGGATTAGGACTTATGTGGATTTAAGCACATTGTGGACACTGTAAACCACGGGGAACACTTGCTGGGGAATCCAGCATCAACTCTCACATCTCACTGGCAAGCTGGTGAGAACCCTTCTCTTGTCATGGTGGAAACAGGTCCCATGGCTAGGCATGGTGGCTCACGCCTGTAATCCCAGCACTTTGGAAGGCCGAGGCAGGAGAATTACCTGAGGTTGGGAGTTCAAGACCAGCTTGGCTAACATGGTGAAATCTTGTCTCTACTAAAAATACAAAAATCAGCCAGGCGTGGTAACGCACGCCTGTAATCCCAGCTAGTACTCGGGAGGCTGAGGCAGGAGAATCGCCTGAACCCGGGAGGTGGAGGTTGCAGTGAGCCAAGATCGCACCATTGCATTCCAGTCTGGGAGACAGAGCGAGACTGTATCTCAAAAAAAAAAAGTTCCTGTTCCGTTTGGGTCTGCGGGGCAACGTTTAGGAACTCTGAAGCTAGAGTGTGTGGGTTCAAATCCTGTCCCCAGTGTTCACTTATCCCAGGCACATGGCTCATCCTCTCTGCCTGTGTCCTCCTGGTCAACGTTAAGTTAATATAGGAAGTGTGAAGAACGGAGCCCAGTACACAGAAATCTGCACTCAGTGTTGGCTGTTCGTGTTATTTGTACCGAGCACTGTCTCCACAGGAGCAGCGGGGGCAGTACTGAAGAGAGGGCACTGATTGTTTCCTCTGAAACTCCTTACAGTCAGCAACCTCATCCCAAATGGTGCTAGACAAAGCCCCAGCGTTTCTTTTTAAGTGAAGCCAGAGTTGGCACCAATCTCAGCCTGGCAGGCAGCTTCTGAGCAAGGGGAGACCTGTCCTGCCCCAGGATGCCAGAGGGTGACCCAAGAACCGACTCCCTCCCCTTTGGCTGGAAGGTTGGACACAGCTGAGTAAAACTGACCTTGGACTTCATGTTCTTCAGAGTAGAGGCTGAGATGTGTATCAGACCAGAAGACAGCCAGGAGCTGCCCCCAAAGTAGCTTCTAGATGGTCCAGGGAGGGAGCCTACAGTACTGTTTGTCCCATGTTTGGACAGTCAGTGAAGTGGAGAGCAGAGAGTGAAATGAAGGACAGGCACATCTGTTGAAGATGCGGGGCCCAGGGCCTGGCTACTAGCGAGTATTTGGGTGGTCGCGGGTTATGGGTGTGGCTCCAGGAGGAGAGATTTTTGTTTTTTGTTTTTTCGAGATGCAGTCTCCCACTGTTGCCCAGGCTGGAGTGCAGTGGCACAATCTCGGCTCACTGCAACCTCTACCTCCCAGGTTCAAGTGATTTTCAGCTAATTTTTGTATTTTTAATTTAGACGGGGTTTCACCATGTTGGCCAGACTAGTCTCGAACTCCTGACCTCCAGTGATCCACCCGCCTCAGCCTCCCAGAGTGCTGGGATTACAGGTGTGAGCCACCACACAGGAGGAGAGTTTGAAAGCCCAGCTGCCTGCTAACACTTGGAGGTTACTGTCCCAACTCCAGCTCAGACTGTGTTGACTCAGGGCGCCTCTCAGCCTAATATACCGTGACACTTCCTCACACGGTCTATTTGACTTGAAACTTATATTTAGGAATTGCACTAAGGAAAATATTCTGCCACCAGAACTGTTCAAAACTTACTTGTTCTAAATGGTGCTTAAATTTCCCCAAATTTAAAAACAATACTAAACAATTTACCTGATATCAACATAACCAGGTTATGTTGGTAAAGGTGAGGAAAAAAATTCTAAACAATCAACAACAGCCAAACTTTGCTCAATCATGCTAAAAAAAAAAAAAAAGTTAATTATCTGTCTATTTTCACCATAGAAAATGTTTGCAGAACAAAAAATTATTGCAGCCCTTTTGCAACTGGGAGGCAACAAGCTTGAGAATAAAGGGAACAAACTAAAGATGGAGCCAAACACCAGAAAAACATCTATGGTATCCTGGAGCAGCTCAAGAGACATCAGTAACTGCCTAGTTCCTGGCTTCTTGTTACATAAGAAAAATACGACGGGTGTGGTGGCTCACACCTGTAATCCCAGCACTTTGGGAGGCTGAGAGGGGCAGGTAACCTGAGGTCAGGAGTTGGAGACCAGCCTGGACAACATGGTGAAACCTCATCCCTATTAAAAATACAAGAATTAGCTGGGCATGGTGGCAGGTGCCTGTTATGCTAGCTACTTGGGAGGCTAAGGCATGAGAATCACTTGAACCAGGGAGGCAGAGCCTGCAGTGAGCCGAGATCGCGCCACTGCAAGCCAGCCTGGGCAACAGAGCGAGACTGTCTCAAAAAAAAAAAAAAAAAGAAAAACCCATGTTAAAAAAAAGAAAAAAAAACCCATGTGTTTAAGCCACACACACACACATGAATGCATGCACATCCTGATGTTATATGATGAGGTAATAAACAATACCATCAAAACTGATGGGGAAATGTATTATAAATGTGTGACAAGCAGTTAATAAAAATACACTCTGAGAACCTTGTGGGGCTCCTGGAAGTAAAATCCATGAAAGTGTGGGCCCCCGACCAACACTGGGCCCCAAGGGATTTTTAATTCTCAAGCTAGTCTCAGCTCAGCCTCCAGCTGTTTGTCCATTCCTGACTCAATGCTCCTGCCAGTTCCTGGCTCCCGTGGCTTCTTCAGGTAGGCAGCTCTCAGCTGTGATTCTGTCTTCACTGCATCTTCATATTTCAAGGCAGTGGTTTGCCCTATGACCTCAATCCTCTGATGATCTTTACTTTTTTTTTTTTTTGAGATGGAGTTTTGCTTTTGTTGCCCAGGCTGGAGTGCAACGGCGTGATCTTTGCTCACTGCAACCTCTGCCTCCCAGGAACAAGCGATTCTCCTGCGTCAGCCTCCCGAGTAGCTGGAACTAAAGACACGCGCCACCACACCCAGCTAATTTTTGTGTTTTTAGTAGAGACTGGGTTTTGCCATGTTGGCCAGGCTTATCTCCACTTCTGACCTCAAGTGATCTGCCTGCCTCAGCCTCCCAAAGTGCTGGGATTACAGGCATGAGCCACTGTGCCCAGTCTGGAAGGCACCTTTAAACCAGGTCTTGGTAGCTGGTTGGAGAAGGGTAGGGAAGGGAATTCCAGCCAGGAAGTTCAGCATGAGACAGGCACAGAGGTGCCAGGTCTCTGGTCCATATTCAGGGTACCACAGGCCACCTATTTGCCTGGAAGCAGAATTAGTGGAGTGTCTGGGGTGCGGGGAGATAGTCATTGGAAAATGCACGTGCTGAGGACACTCACTTGGTCTCTGGTAGACTCCCTCTGAAGGCGGCCACAGTGGGTGGAGATCACTTGTGGAGATCACCTTTCTCAGCATCATCCTGGATATCACAGTGGACATTTACTGAGCACTTACTGGCTGGCAGGCATTGTGCTAAATGCCACATCTGCTTTTTTATTTTATTTTATTTTATTAAACTGTTAAAGATGTTCCATTTATTTTTTCAGTTTCTGTAAAAAGAAGACTGCTCCATAGTTTTTACTCACACCTCCCTGTCTGGTCTTTGCTTGAGTTGTCACCTTAGCCAGCCCGTTCTGGCATGTCACCCACGCCCCCAAAACTTACTCTGAGCTTGTTGGGTGAGCTTTAGGAGACATTGTGAGCTAGAGCTGCTGCAGTGGTGGGCCTAGAAATGTCGCTAGCTGATGGTGTAGCCCCTCCAGAGGGACATGCTGGACACAACCTTCCGTATTCTGCGCAGGAGAGCATCCCTCCAACTCCCCACCATATGAATGAAATTTTTCATATGAATGAAAATTTTGGCTGGAGTGCAGTGGCATGATCTTGGCTCACTGCAACCTCCGCCTCCTGGGTTCAAGTGATTTTCCTTCCTCAGGCTCCTGAGTAGCTGGGACTACAGGCGCGTGCTACCACGCCCGGCTAGTTTTTGTATTTTTTAGTGGAGATGGGGTTTCACCATGTTGGTCAGGCTGTTCTCAAACTCCTGACCTCAGGTGATCCACCCGCCTCGGCCTCCCAAAGTGCTGGGATTACAGGCATGAACCTGTAACAGAGCAAGACTCCATCTCAAACAAAACAAAAAACAAAACAAAACACCACATTTTTAAATAACGTGAGTCAAAGAAGTCTCGAGAAATTTTAAAATACTTTGAACTAAATGAAAATAAAACATCAAAATTTATGGGATGTAGTAAAAGCAGTGCTTACAGGGAAATTTATAGTATTGAAGTTATACATTAGGAAAGAAGAAAGATCTAACAAATAATCTAAGCTTTCAGCTTAGGAAACTAGAGAAAGAAGGCAGTGTAAGCCTAAAGGAAGCAGAAGGAAAGAAATAATAAGAATTAGAGAAGAAATCAATGCAATTGAAAATAGGAAATTAATAGAGAAAATCAATAAAATCAAAAGCTGGTTCTTCAAAAAGAGCAATAAAATTGATAAACTTCTAGCCAGGCAAATCAGAAAGACAAAAGAGACAGAAGAAACACAAATCGCTAATATCAGAGATAAAAGAGGGGGCAATCACTTCTAATCCTAAGAACATTAAAAGGATAATAAAGGAATTTTATGAAAAATTCTATGCCCACAAACCTGATAGCTTAAACAAAATGGACCAATTACTTGAAAGACACAAACTACTAAAACTCACACAAAAATAAATAGAGGCAAGGCCTGGTGGCTCATGCCTAAAATCCCAGCACTTAGAGAGGCTGAGGTGGGAGGATCACTTGAGCCCAAGAGTTTGAGACCAGCCTGGGCAACATAGTGGGATATCAACTCTATTTTTAAAATTTTAACATATATTTTAAACAATTTTAAAAAAGGAATAGCTAGTCTGCCTGGATGCAGTGGCTCATGCCTGTAATCCCAACAGTTTGAAAGGCCAAGGTGGGAGGATAGCTTAAACCCTGGAGTTTGAGACCAGCCTGGGCAACAGAGTGAGACCTCATCTCTACAAAAAATACAACATTAGCTGGGCATGATGGTGCATGCCTGTAATCCCAGCTACTTGGGAAGCTGAGGTGGGAGAATTGCTTGAGCCTGGGTGGTGGATGCTGCAATGAGCAGTGATCATGCCACTGCACTCCAGCCTGGGGGACAGAGTGAGACCCCCCATCTCAAAAAAATAAAGTGAATAAAATGATAATCTGAACAGGCCTATATATATATTAAATAAATTGAATCAATAACTAATAATCTTCCAAAAAAGAAAACACCAGGTCCAGATGGCTTTACTGGTGAATTCTACCAAACATTCAAGGAAGAAATAATACAATTTTCCTACAATCTTTTCCTGAAAATAGAAGGAGAGGGAATACTTCCTAATTCATTCTCTGAGGCCATCATTACCCTAATTCCAAAACCAGATAAAGGTTATAAGAAAGACTATAGACCAATATCTCTCATGAAGATAGATGCAAAAATCCTCAACAAAATAGTAAGTTGAACCCAACAATGTATAAAAAGAATTATACACTACAACAATGTGGGATTTATTCTAGGTATGCAAGGCCAGTTCAACAGTCAAAAATTAATTAATGTAATCCATCACATCAACATGCTAAATTATATGATCTTATCAGTAGAAGCAGAAAAAGCATTTAACAAAATCTAACACCATTCATGATCAAAAACTCTCAGCAAGCTAGAAATAGAAGGGAACTTCCCCAACTTGATAAAGAACATCTATAAAAATCTACAGCTAGGCCAGGCCCATTGGCTCACGCCTGTAATCCCAGCACTTTGGGAGGCCAAGATGGGTGGATCACCGGAGGTCAGGAGTTCGAGACCAGCCTGACCAGCATGGTGAAACCCTGTCTCTACTGAAAATACAAAAAATTAGCCAGGTGTGGTGGTGGGCGCCTGTAATCCCAGCTACTCAGGAAGCTGAGGCGTGAGAATTGCTTGAACCCTGGAGGCGGAGGTTCCAGTGAGCCGAGATTGCACCACTGCACTCCAGCCTGGGCAACAAGAGGGAAGCTCCCATCTCAAAAAAAAAAAAAAAAAAAAGAAACCTACAGCTAACATCATACATAATAGTGAGAAATCAGATGCTTTCCCTCTAAGATCAACGATGTTCTTCACCATTCCCATTCAACATCATACTGTATGTACTAGCTAATGCAGCAAGACAGGAAAAGGAAATAAAAGATACAGATTGGAAAAGGAGAAATAAAAAATGTTTGTTTGCAAATGACATGAGTGTCTGTGTAGAAAATCCCAAAGAATCAACAAAAAGACTCCAGGAATAAGTGATTATAACAAGGCTTCAAGATACAAGGTTAATGTACAAAAGTCAGTTGCTTTCCTATATACCAGCAATGAACAATTGGAATTTGAAACTTAAAACACGGTATCATTTACATTAGCACCAAAAGAGAAAAAATGAAAAAAGAGAAATACTTAGGTATAAATCTAACAAAATATGTAAAGGATCTATATGAGAAAAGCTATAAAACTCCAATGAAAGATATAAGAGATTATCCAAATAAATGGATATTCTACGTTTATGGATAGGAAGACTCAATACTGTTTTGTTTTGTTTTTTTTATATGGAGTCTCGCTCTTCGTCCAGGTTGTAGTGCAGTGGTGCAATCTCGGCTCACTGCAACCTCCGCCAACGAGTTCAAGAGATTCTCCTGCCTCAGCCTCCCGAGTAGGTAGGATTACAGGCACCTGCCACCATGCCGAGCTAATTTTTGTATTTTCAGTAGAGACGAGGTTTCACCATGCTGGCCAGGCTGGTCTCGAACTCCTGACCTCAGGTGATCCTCCTGCCTCAGCCTCCCAAAGTGCTGGGATTACAGGCATGAGCCACCACACCTGGCCTCAATACTGTTAAGATGTCAACTCTTCCCAATTTTATCTATGGATTCAACACAATCCCTATTACATTACCAGCAAGTTATTCTGTGGATATCAGCAAACTGATTCTAAAATTTATGTGGAAAGGCAAAAAACCCAGAATAGCCAACAAAATACTGAAGACTATCCAAGGGTAGACACCACCCAACTTCAAGACTTACTATAAAGCTACTTTAATCAAGACAGTATGCTATTGATGAAAGAATAGACAAATTGATCAATGGAACATAATAGAAAGCCCAGAAAAAGACAACAGATCTTTAACAAGGCAACTGATCTTTAACAAGGAGCGAAGGCAATTAAGTAAGAGAATGGATAGTTTTTCAAAGAAGCTACTGGACATACATAATGTAAAAACAATGAATTGAGACACTGACCTTACACCTTTCACAAAAATCAACTCAAAATGGATCATAGACATAAATGTAAAATGCAAAACTATAAAACTAGAAGGTTACATAGAAGAAAATCTAGGTGACTTTGGGTTGACAATGAGTTTTTAGATACAACAGTAAATGCATGAACCATGAAAGGAACATTGATAAGCTGGACATTATTAAAATTAAAATCTTCTCCTTGGTCTGTGACACTTAAGAGAATGAAAAGACAAGCCACAAACTAGAAAAAAAATATTTTCAAAATATATCTGATAAAGGACTTATATTTAAATCTAAAAAACTCCTAAAACTCAACAAAGAAAGCAAACGACCCTAATTTAAAAATGGGCAAAAGATCTGAACAGACACCTCACCAAACAAGATATACAGATGATGAATAATCATATGAAAAGATGCTCAACATCATATATCATTAGAGAATTACAGATTGAGATGATAAGATATCACTGCACACCTATTGGAATGAGTATAATACGAAGAACTTACAATACCACATGCTGATGAAGATGTGGAGCAACAGAAACTCTCATTCACTGCTAGTGGGAGTGCAAAATGCTACAGCCATTTTGGAAGAAAATTAGGAAGACAAAGCTAAACAGAATCTTACAGTACACCAAACAGTTGCACTCCTAGGTATTTACTCAACTGAGTGGGTAAGAAAACTTATGTCACACAAAAGCCTGAACATGAATGTCTTTAAGAGCTTTATTCAGAATCCCCAAAAACTGGAAGCAACCAAGATGTCCTTCAGTAGACGAATGGATACACAAACTGTGTTATATCCATACAATGAAATACTATTCAGTTATCAAGCCATAAAAAGACATGAAGAAACCTTAAAAGCAAACTGCTAAGTGAAAAAAGCCAGTCTGAAAAGGCTACATACTATATGATTGCAACTATATGCCATTCTGGAAAAAGCAAAACTATAGAGGCAATAAAAAGACCAGCAGTTGCCAGGGATTAGGGGGCAGGGCAGGGGATGCAAGGGGAAGGGATGAATAGGTGAAGCTTGGGAGACAGTGAAACTATTCTGTATTGATACATTAATGGTGGATATATGACATTAGGGATTTGTCAAAACCCAAGGAACTATACAACACCAAGATTAAACCTTAATGTAAACTGTGAACTTTAGTTAATAGTAATGTATCAATATTTATTTGTAATAGCCAGGCATGGTGGCTCATGCCTGTAACTCCAGCACTTTGTGAGGCTAAGGTGGGAGGATCACTTGAGGCCAAGAGTTCAAGACCAGCCTGGGCAACATAGTGACACCCCCGTCTCTAACAAAAACAATTTTTTTAAAAAATTAAGTGGGTGTGGTGGTGCGCACCTATACTCCCAGTTACTTTGTAGGCTGAGAGGGGAGGACTGCTTCAGCCCAGGAGGTCGAGGCTGCAGTGATCTACAATGACACCAATGCACTCCAGCCTGGGTGACAGAGCAAGACCCTGTCTCGAAAAAAGGTTGTAACAAATATACCACACTAATGCACAATGTTAAGAATAGAGGAAATTCAGTGTGTATGTGTGGGGAGGGGGTATGGGAGCCTTGTGTAATATGTGCTTAACTTTTCTATGAATCTAAAACTGTTCCAAAAAATAAAGTCTATTAATTCTTAAAAAGTAATGCAGGTAGACTGTTTTACTTGAAAGTCAGAAAAATAGAAAAAAAAAAAAACCCTGCAGACCCATCATCCAGACAACCGACATTTACAATCTGCTAAATTTCTGTCCAGGATTTTTTCTTTGTGTAGCCTTTTACCAATAGCATTTTATTTACACCTATATTATATCTCATACCCTCGTTCATCTCTTATAATAGTTCTCTGTGTCCTCCACAAGATTTTATGTTCCCTGAGGTCAGGAAAACCTGAAAAGTTTTTGTATTTCATATGGTTCTTGATATAACACCTGGAACTTACTAGGGTCTCAATAAGTGTTTATTTGACAGAGATGAATAAAGAAGAATCTTCACCATATCAAATCTATATCTGCTAGAGAAAAAAAAAATCACAGAATGATTAAGAAAAAATATGCATTATGAGAAACTTATTTTAAAGAGTTTACATCAGAAAAAGATGATAGGAATGGGCTGAAGACCTTAACAAGAGCAAGGACAAAGAGTTACTAAATTTACATGAGGGCTGCATGGCTGGTACCTCCTGGTCATCACATTGCTCAGAGGGCTAAATCTTTGGCCAGGCTAGTCCAGGAACTAGGCTGAGAGACCTGCACAGAGCATGTGGGCTATTCTCCCAGGGTGGGCCTACAGAGCCTAATGTGAGTACATTTCCTCAAGAGAGCAAGCCACAGATGGCACTTTATAGTGTGAATGCCACCTGTCCATGCTGACTGTTAGGCAAGGGGTCCTATCCTTCTGCAGAGTTAAATAAGATCACAAGATTTGTTAGGTGAATAAAGAACTCCAGACACAAGATTAGTCCTCATCCTTAGGGCTGTTTCTTGTGAAAGTTGTCAGAATCAAAATGGAGTCACTAATCTAAAAAAAAAAACCTGACAAATAGAGCTGGGTTTGAAGAGAGGCCATGAAGAGAGGGCTCTCATGCTTATATGCCTGATAAAAACTATCACAAAGACTGCAAAACCGCAACCTTGCGCAAAGGCTATGGCTACCTTACACACACAAAACTATTTCCTCCCACAAGGACATCTGCTCAGAAACTGCCTGTCTAATTCCATGCTGTTATTGATCTTTGTAGCCAAGGAAAATTATTTCAAAATAATCATGTAATCCTCATTTTTCCCTTTAAAAACCTTTGTCTTCCATTACCTCCCAGAATATGCACATAGTTTACTATGGCGCATGTATTTCCATTGCAATGCTCTACTCCCAAATAAATATCTTTATTTTACAGAACTTCTCTTTGTTATTTGGCATTCTCTTCATATTATGGTAAATCCTACTTTAATTTTCCTAGTTTACTGTAAGAACTATACCTATTATAAGTTTCAGCACTAGAGGTTTGGACAGTTCTATGCTTTTCTTTGTTCTGCCTCATGAGGGCTTTTGAGAAGACAAAAGTCAGAAACTCTAGAACTTCCATCTCCGTAAGGAGTAAGGCAAAACGCTGGCTCTCTGAACCACAACTACAAAGTTGCATACATAATTTTACAACCAGACTCTGCCACCAGACTCTCCTGGTCATTCTCAAAGACTTTGGATCAGTACAACGTCCTCCCTCTACCCAGGTCATGGAATCACAGAGTTCTACTTTTATTGGCCATTTTCTTCCCTCCATACTCAAGAGGAAGGATTCTCAAACAAGCAATGAAACTCCTTCTCTAGCTTACATCAGCTTGCAATTTAAAACTGTATTTCCAGATGAAGTTATGCCAGTATTTGACTGGAAAGGTTTTCAATAAACTTCTTAATTCATTCTTTCTTTCTTTCTTTTCTGAGACAGAGTCTCACTCTGTTGCCCAGGCTGGAGTGCAATGGCATGATCTCTGCTCCTTGAAACCTCTGCCTCCTGGGCTCAAGCAATTTCTCCTGCCTCAGCCTCCTGAGTAACTGGGGTTACAGGCACCCACCACGAAGCCTGGCTAATTTTTTCTATATTTAGTAGAGATGGGGTTTCACTATGTTGGCCAGGCTGGTTTTGAACTCCTGACCTCAAATGATCTGCCCACCTTGGCCTCCCAAAGTGCTGGGATTACAGGCATAAGCCACTGCACCCGGCCTAAACTTCTTAATTCTTTAACTCATCTTTTCTATACCTGGAATCCAGAGGAATGGCAGATTTTACACACCACAACTATCATGTTTCCATCAATCCAGGTGATGTGCAATTTCAAGGCTAATGGCTGCTAAGAACTATCCATACACACAAAGAAAGAGCAAAACCCGACGACTCTCTAAGCCTCAGATCAAATAATAACAAAAATAATTCACATTGATATAATGCTTTATATGCAATTCAAAGCTAAGCAATTTCTCTTTCCCTCCCTCCCTCTTTCTTTCTCTCTCTTTCTTTCTCTTTTTCTTTTTTCTTTTCTTTTCTTTTCTTTTGACAGGGTCTCACTCTGTCACCCAGCCTGGAGTGCAGCGGCATAAATAATGGGCTCACTGCAGCCTCAAACTCCTGGGTGCAAGAGATCCTCCCACCTCAGCCCCCCAAGTAGCTCAGACTGCAGGCACACACCACTATGACCAGCTAATTTTAAAATTTTTTTGTAGAGATGGGAGCTCACTATGCTGCCCAGGCTGAACAATTTCTGAAATGTTATCTCATTTGATCAGGTGCCCTAAGGCATTATCCGATCCTCAGGCACTTTGCCTCGACTCAAGTGAGTTCAATTCCCAGCACAAACATTTGCTGACACATCTCAAAGAACACTTAAATTATAGCCAGTCTGAGTACAGGCTCTCCTCCCTAAGAGAAAAAAGCTGAGGTGAGTTGGGGGGATGATGTATTTATTCACCTTCTAGTTCTGGCACACCAGGTGCGTGTGGTAAAACACCCACTGTTGAGCGGAGACTCCCTGGCTGCGGGTAGCTTGGCCCTCTTCAGGAAGTGGGGCACTGAATTACAGGTGCACAATCCTGGCATACTGTGTCCATGCCAAAAAGGGATGGGAGAGGGAGACAGGTAGGCTCTGGTTTTGGATTCTGGACACACAGAACAAAACATCCAAAGCTCATTTGAGGGACCTCGGTCCAACTACAACTCCTGGTACCCCGATACCTGGTAATAAGATCAGGTACCCAGATCTTGTGAGGAATCTGGCTAAACACCTGGCAAGTTTGGTGGGTCAAGATTCCCAGGAGAGGGATGGCAAAGATCTCAAGGACTATTTCCACTTGGTGTATGATAAAACCAAGTAGAGTTGTTTTATTTCTACCAGGACTATGATCTGTCTACTGTAATTTCACGCTTCATGGACATTTATTTCACTGAACAGATAATAACAATTGTAATTGCTAACAGTTTTAATTGCAGTACATGTGGCTTTTTTTTTTTTTTTTGGAACGAAGTTTCACTCTTGCCCAGGCTGGAGCGCAGTGGCGCGATCTCAGCTCACTGCAACCTCTGCCTCCCGGGTTCAAGCGATTCTCCTGCCTCAGCCTCCTGAGTAGCTGGAATTGAAGGCACCTGCCACCACGCCTGGCTAATTTTTATATATTTAGTAGAGATGGGGTTTCACCATGTTGACCAGGCTGGTCTTGAACTTCTGACCTCAGATGATCCACCCGCCTTGGCCTCCCAAAGTGCTGGGATTACAGGCGTGAGCCACCACGCCCGGCACATGTGATTTCTTTAATCCTCATTACACCTCCAAAGGTAGGTGCTCTGTTCTAACAGTACACTTCAATTGCACGGTGCTTTACATTGTCAAATTTTAAGCCTATTCATTATAAACCATTGACCAAACACTGAGCATGTGTCTCATACACAGGCACCTGATGTACATTTCCTCATGCACTCCCTACAGCCACCCTGTGGGTAGGAACTGAACTACCCTACTTGCACAGAGGAAGAAACCCAGATGTAGAGAGGCTGCATAACCTGACCAGGATCCACAGCTGAGAGAGTGATTCAGGGGGGTGTCAAAAGGAGGCCCACCATCTCCACACTCTGGGACTTTATCCAGCCTTTTTTGATCCTCAAAATAACAGAACTGGTCACTACTGCACTACAGTGGGGAAGAGAACATCCCCTGATGGAGGTGACTTCTCCCAGGTCACACAAGCACTTGCCCCACTTGGCCACATGGGCCAAGCCCTCTGAGACACTGGAGGTTTGAACAGTAGGATGCCTGGTCACCTGGATGCCTTACAGGGCTTTTTACCTGAAAGTGGGGAAGCAAATGAATCTAATTCTACAAATCACCAAATTCTACCCCATCACACAGTGGATGCTGCCTTGAAAATTATAACTCAAAATAACTTCCAATCCATACAATCCAACAAGAAAAAAATACCACCAACTAAAAAAAAAAAAATCAAAGTAACCATAATAGACTTGAGAAAAGGGAAACTGTAAATGGAATAATGTTTAGTAACAGGTAGTGTGGTCTAATGGAATAGACACAGAACCTGGAGTCAAACTGGGACTTTGATCTTAGCTCTGCCCCTTTGAGCTGTTTGACCCTGGGGAAGTTACTTCACGGTCCTGTTTCCCTCCTCCATAAAGTGAATGTCATGATCTCTTTCTCACAGGTGTGCTGTGGGATTAAATGAATAATATACATAAAGTATGCAGGAAATGCTCAATAGCTTTTGCTTTTTTTTTTTTTTTTTTTTTTTTGAGACGGAGTCTCACTCTGTAGCCTAGGCTGGAGTGCAGTGGTGCAATCTCAGCTCACCACAACCTCCACTTCCCAGGTTCAAGAGATTGCCCTGCTTCAGCCTCCTGAGTAGCTGGGATTACAGGTGCCCGCCACCATGCCTGGCTAATTCTTGTACTTTTAGTAGAGAAGGGATTTCACCATGTTGGCCAGGCTGGTCTCAAACTGTTGGCCTCAAGTGATCCACCCGCCTCAGCCTCCCAAAGTGTTGGGATTACAGGTGTGAGCCACAGCACCCAGCCTAGCTTTAATTCTTATTTAGGTAAGTTCTGATTAATGCAACTAAAAAAGAAAAATTAGGGCCAAGGGCAGTGGCTCAAACCTGTAATCCCAGGCTGATGCAGGAGGATTACTTAAAGACAGGAGTTTGAGACTAGCCTGGGCAAAATAGTGAGACCTCATCTCCCCAGAAAGATTTTTAAAATGAGCTGGGCTGCAGTGAGCTATGATTGTACCACTGCACTCCAGCCTGGGTGACAGAGTGAGACCCCATCTCTAAAAAACAAAAACAAAAGAAAGCTCAACGGAGGAACTGGCTTCATAAAAAGAATATCAGGGAAAGGTAGTAAGGGTATTTCTTACTGTTTTTGGTTTTTTGTTTTTTGTTTTTTTTTTTTTGAAATAGAGTCTTACTCTGTCACCCGGGCTGGAATTCAGTGGCGTGATCTTGGCTCCACCTCCAGGGTTCAAACAATTCTCCTGCCTCAGCCTCACGAGTAGCTGGACCACAGGCGTGCACCATCACACCAGCTAATTTTTGTATTTTTAGTAGAGACAGGGTTTCGCCATGTGAGCCAGGCTAGTCTCAAACTCCCGACCTCAGGTGATCCACCCGCCTTGGCCTCCCAAGTGCTGGGATTACAGGTGTGAGCCACCACACCTGGCCTTACTGGCTTACTTCTTTGGATTCACCTAATAAATAAAAATTAAATTTGGGGGCATGGGTGAGAGGATTCTTTCCTATGTTCTCAGCTCCTCCACCAGTAGGGGCTCAGTAAAGCCCTGTGTTGTGGAAAATGACAGGTAGGGAACCAAAAGGTGATTAAAGATCTGGCTCTTAGAGTAATTCTTTTGTTCCCTGAAGGTGATTGTTTGACTTATGTTTCTTGTCCTCATTATTATTCTTTCTAATACTCGAATTTTATTTGTTAAGGGAGAAAAAAGGCTTAAAACAAAGCCTCATTATCCTCATCTGGATAATGATGGCATTGTGAGACTATGCAATTTCTTGCTTTGTTTGGCTTAAAGAACCTCTATATGTGCGTGAAATAAATGCCAATTTAACGTTTTAGATTTCTGCTACAAGGCTGGGGCAGCTGGAATCATCCAGCAGTTCCTCCTTTATGCTGGTTTGTGGCCATTCTCGTTCCAAGAGAAGACAAACTTGCATTTCAAAATTAAACTCTGAAATTTAAAAATAAAAGCAGGAAAAAAAAAAAAACCAAAACTTTCCTAGGCCAGAAGGAATGATTTAAATTTTCGGAGAGCTCCTTGGCGTTTCAAGGGTAGTGATAAACCATTGGAATTTACTTTGATGTTTCAGCTCTAGCACAGCACCCCCTCAGCCTCCCCAGGCCTCCTCCTCCATCCCCTGTGTCTGACTGGGTAGTTACTGCTCTGGGGCCTGGAACCCTTCCAGTCTCATTCCCCTGTTTGTGTATCTGAATATCTCTATGTCTTTAGATCTTCTTCATGCTGCCTCTGTTGTCCTGTCTCCCTCTCCCAAAGTCTGTTTGTCTGTCTTGTTGCCCCCCCGGCCCCGTGCTTTTTAAATTTGGCTCCTGCTTTGTGGCACTGTCTTGAATACACAGGTTTGACTGCTGGTTGACATTTATTTATTTGTTTGTTTGTTTATTTTGAGATGGAGTCTTGCTCTGTTACCCAGGCTGGAGTGCAATGGCAAGCTCTCAGTTCACTGCAGCCTCTGCCTCCCGGGTGCAAGCGATTCTACGGCCTCAGCCTCTGGAGTAGCTGGGATTACAGGCCTGTGCCACCACACCCGGCCAAATTTTTTTTTCTTTTTTTCTTTTTTTCTTTTTTTCTTTTTTTACTGAGACGGCGTCTCGCTCTGTCACACAGGCTGGAGTGCAGTGGCCCGATCTCGGCTCACCACAACCTCCGCCACCCGGGTTCAAGTGATTCTCATGCCTCAGCCTCCCGAGTAGCTGGGACTACAGGCGGTTGCCACCACACCCAGCTAATTTTTTGTATTTTTAGTAGAGATAGGGTTTCGCCATGTTGGTCAGGCTGGTCTCAAACTCCTGACCTCAGGTGATCCACCTGCCTCGGCCCCCCAAAGTGCTGGGATTACAGGCCTGAGCCACCGCACCCGGCCTATTTTTTTTTCTTTCTTTTTTTTAGATGGAGTTTTGCTCTTGTTGCCTAGGCTGGAGTGCAATGGCGTGATCTCGGCTCACCACAACCTCTGTCTCCCGAGTTAAAGTGATTCTCCTGCCTCAGCCTCCTGAGTAGCTGGGATTACAGGCATGCGCCACCATGGCTGGCTAATTTTGTATTTTTAGTAGAGACGGGGTTTCTCCATGTTGGTCAGGCTGGTCTCGAACTCAGGTGATCCGCCCGCCTTGGCCTCCCAAAGTGCTGGGATTATAGGCATGCACCACCATGCCTGGCCTATTTTTTCTTTCTGAGACAGGGTCTCCCTCTGTCACCCAGGCTGGAGTGCATTGGAGCAATCTGGGTTCACTGCAACCTCTGCCTCCTGGGTTTAAGTGATGCTTTCACCCCAGCTTCCTGAATAGCTGGCACTACAGGCACTTGCTACCATACTCAGCTAATTTTTAAAATTTTTTTGCAGAGACAAGGACTCATTATATTGCCCAGGCTGATCTCAAACTCCTGGGCTTTGTGATCCTCCCACCTTGACCTCCTAAAGTGCTGGGATTATAGGCATGAACTACTGCACCTGGCCTCACTTTTTTTTTTTAATGGCTAACTAGACTTCACAATGTGTTCCCCACACTAGGGTTGTCACTGAGAAGTATAAGGAGCAAAAAAAGGTGAAAAGAGAAGGATGAGGAGGAAACTTAATATTATACAAAGCTCCTGGGAATACTGGAGAGCCCCTTTCCCGGGGGCACTTCGAGGAGGAACAGGTTGCCGCTGCAGAGGAAGGAACATCTGGGTTCCATGACTTGGCAACAGGCTCTCCTTGAGGGTCACTCACCGTCACAGGCTCTCTCTGCACTGGAGATCCGGCCTTCTGGAGGCTGGCAGGGAGGACGTGCTGAAGCAGGAAGGGCTCAGCTTTGCACCAGGCAGATGTCCTTTGGAATCCTGGCTCTGCTGCTTACAGCAGTGTGACTTCGCAGGCAAATCGTTTAACCTCTCTAAATCCAGATAGCCTCATTTGTAAGAAATGAGCAATGCTACCTCCTGTGTGGAGTAGCAAGGATTAAATGATGTGTTGTAAAACACCAAATAGACCCGGGCTCATAATAGGAGTTCAGACAGTGCGATTTTCCTCCCTCCTCCTTTCATGGTGGTCTTTAACTTGTATTTATTCTGAAGTTTGTTAAGGCTGTTGGGAACTCAGAACACATTTACTCATAAAAACCAGTAGCCCTGGGCTTTGTGAGGTCTGACCCCCAACCCCTGCCTAACTCACCATCCCCATTCTCTTCCCATCACCCTCATTCAGGGACTTGACTTTCAAGACATGGTGGGTTCTTCTGCTGTCTTCCAAATACCCGCTTGGGTTCCCCACCCATAAGCTTTTGCTCCTTCACCCCAGAATCTCAGACCTTTGCTTAGAACTGTCCATCAAATCAATATCCAGGTGAAATCCAAATTCTAGCTCCTCCATCTCCCAGTGTTATGCAGAACTGCTTTCTTTCTCGTCTGAATTCTTATTCTACTTTATCTGACCGAGTAGTAATATGAGCTTTATAATAAAAATCACAACATATTGCCTTTTGTGGCTGTTACTGTGGGGAGTGTCACATATTCTTATATCCCTCACACTGTTCAATAACCACTTTCTGTGGGATAAATAATAATAGCTGCATTTGTTGCATGCACACTATGCCAGGCAATGTGCTATGGCCTTTATCTACCTTTCTTCATTTAATTTCCACGACAAGGTTAAAAGAATGTATATGACCCCAGTATTCTGGGTGGAGCTAAGGGTCAGATGGAGTAAGTCACTTTCTCAAGGTCAAGTCGGCAGAAACTGAAGGAGCAAGGATTCCAACCCAGCAATGCGGGACTCCCAGCTCTGTGCTCTTTCTACTTCCCAGGAAACGGAGCCTAAGTTAGCAACAACAAACCGAAGTCGAGGACTGAGGACATATGCAACCCCCGGTTTGGGTGCAACCTTTATCAATATCCTAAACTGACAGATGACGTAGAGGCAGCCGTTTCGCTGACTAGGGAAGGTAGCCCAAGAAAGCTAAGATGCTAGAATCCAAATTTAAGGTCTACGAGACGCTGCAGAAAACATTTACAGTCACTAGAGGGCTCTCTCTCCCTTAAGCAAAAAGCGCAGCACCGCCCGCGCGCGGTAGTCTCGGAACCCCGCCGCCGGGAGGCCGCTGGCAGCTCCACGCCACCTCCCTGAAGCCCAGTCCATTTTGCCTACATCCCTGTCCGGGCAAGCCCTGGAGAATCCATAGGGCAGTGCCCCAAGCTGGAGCAGTTTTCACAGCCACATCCCGGGCTGCACTGGGTTAGGGATGCTTTGAGGTTCCTCTGGGGGCTCCCTGCTCTCTGCTTACCAAGCAGGCGGGAGTTGGGAAGGGGAGAAGGAGTGCAGACTCAGGGGTGGGGTAATCCAGAAATGCATCCCTCAAAGGCCAGCCTGGCCTGGTCCAGGCCCTAAGCTCTCTGGGGAAGGACGGCAGGGAACCCCGCCTTGGCGGGCTCTGCGGGTCCTGCGCCCGGGTAGATTTTGCTGAGATGGGGAGAGGGGACCCCCTCCACGCCCCCGGAGTAGTGAACACCATTTTGTTTGAAAGTATCCTGCAAAGAGAACCACCTCACGAGGCCATGGCTGCCAGGGGACTCCTCTCCCCACCGGATCGCCGGGGAGCCCGGGGAGGGAGGGATTCTGCAGCTGCAGCTTGGAGGTCCTTGATGCTGCATTTTAACGCGCATCGCAACGCCTTTGGAGTGACATTAAGTGCAAAGAGGCAAATGACTAATCCAAACTATTATTACAACTGCAGAAAATAACACAGATCAATGGCAAAGGCTTGAACCGGGATTAGCTAGGGAGGTGGGACAAACCGGGGATGATCCTTCCTCTCCTTTTTTAGATTTGTTTATTTTGGTAAATTATGTATGTATTTAAACATGAAGAAACAGGTGAAGCGAATGTAAATTGGGTTATAAATAATTTCCAAAGGCTTCGCTGTCCCTTGACAGAAGCCAGAAATAAGACAGGCACTGGGCCTGAGCGCTCTGGACAGGGAAGCACCCGCGTGGCGCTGGGCAAAATCTTCTCAGTGGAGAGAACGCACTCCGGGTTCGAGACCTCCCCGGGTGCAGATGCGAACTGCGGTGGCCCCAAGTGGCCGTCCACTTTGTTCATGAGAACAGTTTTCCTATAACGCCCACCCGGCCCTTTGCATCCCGCAATCCCGCGGGCGTCGGAGCGGGTCTTGGCGCGAACCAGGCGGCCTCGGCGGGGTCCTGCGGCGGAGGGCAGCGCGGCCGCAGCCCGGGAGAGGCGGCCGCGGCATTGTTTCAGCCCCTGGGGTGGGATCCAGCTGGGGGAGGGGAGGCGGGGTGTCCTCCGGAACCGCCCCCGGCCCTCCCTGGGGACCCGTGCCTCAGCGCGTCCAGGCTTTGTGGTGTCCTGAGTCGCCATGGAAACCCGAGGGAACGCGGAGCCGGGTGCTAGGGGGGTCGGTGAGTTCTCCGGCCGCGCCCTCCGTCCGCTCTCGGACCCCGGCCCTGCAGCAGGGCCTGCCGGGAGTTGTAGTCCCCAGGCGGCGGCGGCGCGCGGCGCCAAGGATGCGGGACGCCGCCTGTCCCCGCCTCCCCTTAACCTGCTAGCTGAGGTGGGGAGCGGCGGGAGGAGCCGGCCGCGCGGTGATTGGCGGAGGCCGCTCCCAGCCCCCGACACGCGCCCCTCCCCCGCTCCCCACTCTGGACTCCCGCGCTGGGCGCGCTGAGGCGGCCCCCGAGCGAGCGCGCGTGCAGCCGCCGCCGCCCCGAGCACCCGCAGCTCCGGCGCCGCGGCGAGACGGAGACGGACCGAGCCACGGGCCCCCGCGGCCGCAGCATCTCGGAGGAGTGGGTGATGGCAGGGGGGTCGGTGGGCTTACCCCTCCCGGGCTAGGACATCCTCCTCTCCCCCTTCTGTTTCTGCGTGAGGCGCACAAAAGGGCGGGGAGCCGGGTGAGCCTGGGGCCCGGCCGCAGGGGACGCGGCGGGAGGTGTGGTTTGGGGTTGGGAGGTGGCCATCGGGGCTAAGCCGGGGCGCTCTTGGGGTCCTCTTTGTACGCCCGCGAAGCGCCGTGCCGGGCCTTGCTCATAGTAAGCGTTTAATGCGTGCTCGCGGGGTTGCAAAGCCCTGGGGTGAGGAGGCGGCTCGGCCGAGGGGTTTCGCGCCTAGCACGCAGTGGGCCGCTTTCCTAGCCGGGCGCGGTGCAGTGGACCGCTGGAGGGCTGGGCGGGGGCGCCTCTGGCCGGGGGCCAGTCCTGCCGGTCCCAGGATCTGCGCTGTCCCCGGTCCCACACACCACCCAGATACACACCCTCCGTCCTTCTCGCCTCCGAGCTGGGATCTGCCCAGCCTGGACCCGACCCGGCGGTCTGTTCCACCGCCCGGCTAACGGAGCGGACGCCTGCAGAGGACTCGCCCGCCGCCTCCGAGCCTCCCGCCTGAGCCACAAAGGCCTCCTGCGGCTGCCCAGCCCGGAGCGGGCGCCGAGCCGGGTCCCTCGGCTGGAGCCCAGCGCGGGAGCCCGCCTTGCAGCATCGATCTCAGCGGGCACCGACGTCGACGCCCCGGGCCTGGGGACGGGGCTGTAGTCTGAGCTGGAGAGAAGCCGGGAGAGGGCGAGGGGAGGCCTCGGTTGAGAAAAGATGGGGATGGGGAAGGCTGGGGAGCTGGGTTAGGACAGGTAGTGGGTCTCGGGGAGCAGGGAGTGGGAACTAGGGTTTGAGGAGGAAAGAGAAGGGGCGGGGGCGGGTCCGAAGAACGAGGGAAGGAGCTCGGTGCAGGTGGCGCCCGGCGAGGCTGGTTCTGCTGAAGAATGGGGAGGGGAGGAGGGATGCAGGCGGGTGGAGGCCGCCTGGGTTTGAGGAGGGAGGACGGGAGCGAGGAGAAGACCCGCGCTGTGCGGGGGAGGGGGGCCTCCTGGGAAGGGGAGCCTCCCGAGGAGGGAGGGGCAAGCAGCTGAGAGGCGGTCTCGGGCCCGAGGATCCTCAGCTCCAGGCGCGGGGCCCCGCGGCCCAGGTGGCCGGCTGGGCGTGGCCCTCGGACCGGGGTTAGGGACCCAGGATGGCAGATCCGGGACCGGGCTGGGCTGGCTTGGTGAGGAGCTTTGTCTCCAGGCTTGAAACCAGCCGGTAGCGACTCGCTTAGGGTTTTGTGATCTTCCGCGGCGCCCACGGCACGCCCTTTTCTCGAGGAGCTGAAAGGCTTTGCCCAGCAGCAGGTGCTGCCAGGGAGGCGGATCTCCCTTCGGGGAGACCCGGAGAACAATAGCCGACCCTGGTGTCCATCCGACGACAAACCAGGGCCACCCAGGACGCGAGGGTGCAGTTTTCTGGTGCTGGGAATACTCCCTGCGGAACCTCCGGGCACGTGCTGGCTTTGGGGTTTTATGGGGGCCTGGCCACGCCGGGAATCCCGTGTGGGAGGCGCTCCCCCGGCCTGGGGGCCTGCAGACAGCCACCCCCCCACTCCGGCTCGGGTGCCTTCTGGTGCAGCGCCGCCGCCCGCCCCGCGCTGTCCACCCGCTGCCGAGACGCGGCGTGGTTAGCGGCGCGGAGCTGCCGGGCGGCGACGCAGGTGCCAAAGACTGGAGGTCGCCTCGGTGCAGCGCGGGTTCCCCCGAGCAGCGGCTTTGTCTGCCGAGGCGGCCGTAGTCTAGGGGCTGCAGCTGTGCTTTCTCAGGGGGAGCCGTAAGGGCTGGTGCGGATTGTGGTCAAATTGCGGAGAAGCGGGTGGAAATGATCCCGCAAGGGTGAGGCTCTAGGTTTGGGAGCCGCTGCTAGGGGTCCAGTGCTTTTCTTTGCCAGTGACCACACCCAAGCCAGTGCGTCTCTTGCAGACTTCGCCCATATTGTCTGCTGACCTAAGACTGGGGTAGCTCTGTGATAGGCGCTGCTTGCCCGTGGGAAAGCAGATGAACCGAATGGAAGCTTAAAACAGGCTTTCAGCAGGGCTTTCCACGCACTCAGCCTCTCGCCCGCCGTCTAAACACCTTGCAAGTCACCGCTGCAGCGCCTTGACATGTGAAGTGACACCCAAAGCCAGAATTCTGTGTTGCACTGTTGCTTTGATAACTGGTTAGATGACAAGTTAAAGGTGAATCTTTAGCATAAAGTTATCATTTTAAATTGCCATTCATTAAAAAAAAAGGCAGGAATGTTTTTGTTCCCAGACTGGGCGATACTTGGCATTGTAGAACTCATTGATGCCACTTACATTTGCCACTAAGTTAACTGAGAACCTGTTGGTTCTCTTAACCCAGCCTTGAAATCTCAGGATTTGCTTTCTTAACAAGATTAGTGTGTAAGGTGAAGGACTGTGCTGTGGCTGTTGGCTTTTGCCCAGGACAGATGATAGCTGTCAAAGTGAAGGCCTCTTGTCTGAGTGTCCTTTCTGGCCATAGGGAGTCAGCAGTAGGCTATGTCTTGCTGGTTTTAAAGGATGGTGTTTTGAGGAGGTGCCTCACAGAATTTACAAAACTGATCTGGAAGGACTAGCTGGAACATTGCTCATTGGTTGTTTTTAACTATATTTTAACTGAATTATATATATGTATATATTAATATGTATATACACACATATATATATACACATACTATATTTTACTAAATTATATATGCATGTGTGTATTTATGCATACACACAAACATGGATTCAGAGTACATAAATACTAGGAATCTCAATATTAGAAACCTAGAAATCTGACAGTGAAGGTTTTTTCTTGTAAGAGAGCTCCAATGGGAAACATGTTTTCATATTATTACCCAAAGGGAACAATTTCAGGAAGGAGTGTTTTGTTGGCTTCTTTTTTGTAATAATTTTATGGATTTTTAAAAGGATGTAATCTTCTTAAAGCACTCTGTGAACATCCATTGCAGTCTGTTCCTCATGGCAGGGAATCCATAGACAAGGAATGCCGGTATGACCAGCCTGACGTGAAGGCCTGGCTGTTGTCAGCGTAACCTCTCTAGGTGCAAACATTAGCAGGGTTGTTGCATTATTCTTAATGCTTCTATCTCTGGAAAGAGTTCCACAGCAAGGCAAGTTTACACAGTTGGCCAAAATCAGGTCTCAGGACTTGGCGTAAACTTCATTTGTGGCACTTCCACGTCTCTTCTCCTGCCATAGCTATCTGAGAATTTCCCCTTAATAGCTTCTCTGACCCAGGATTCTGTATGATCCTGCATTAGCTCCACGGGACTATAAGCCAAAGGACAGCATGACTATAGGCAGGTCTCTGGGGTAAAAGTAAATTGTGGCCAGGCACAGTGGATCACGCCTGTAATCCCAACACTTTGGGAGGCTGAGACAGGAGGATCACTTGAGGTCAGGAGTTCGAGACCAGCCTGGCCAACATGGTGAAACTCCATCTCTACTAAAAATACAAAAAAATTAGCCTGACGTGGTGGCGCACACCTGTAGTCCCAGCTACTTGGGAGGAGGCTGAGGTGGAGAATCACTTGAACCTGGGAGGCCGAGGTTGCAGTGAGCTGAGATCGTGCCACTGCACTCCAGCCTGGGCAACAGAGTGAGACTCTATCTCAAAAAAAAAAATGTGAATTGTGTGTTCAGATCATTTTCTTGGGGCATAGAAAAATATTGAGAGCCAGAGAAGTTGGACAAGAGTATCTGAGACCCAGTCTATCTTCCTGGTGTGAAAATTTACCAGTTTCTGATAGAATCTGATCTTGTGTATCTTTTTTGTTTTCTGAGGTATAAAAACATATTCCAGAAAAGTCTTCTAAGACTTAATTCACAGGAATCCTGTAGAACAAGATATCTTTGTCAACATGAAGTCCTGTAGGGAAAACTTGGTGTAATATGGGAGCAAATAAGAATAAATGTGTTTTATCATTTTTCCAATAAGCAGGTGTTTGATTTCATTGCACTGCTGGTGCATAAATGAGAAATAATTTCAAAATCGCTTTGCCTTGCTTTTTTTTATGTGAAGATGAAAGGTTGAAATACCATAACATGAATCTTTTGTGAGCTTTGGTATTTATGTATAAAAGTGGGCACAAATTATACACTTGAACAAAAGAAATTCAGGGAGGAACATGGTGTATGATTTGTTCTACTTCAGTCTTTGAAACTTGTTTCATTTAAAATAAGCTGATTTAACCATTGATTGAACCCGAGCTTGCCAAGCACTCCCATCAATCACAGCCCTGTTCTGTACTTGTTCCCTCGCCTCCCTCCTCCCTCGTCACAATCCAGGCTCAGCGGTAGCGTGTACAGGAGGGAGAGCCAGAAAGCCTGGGTTCAGATTTCACCTTGGCCACTTTCTGTTTATCTGTGCAATGAGGATGGTTGTATTAGGTTGGTGCAGAAGTAATTGCTGTTTTTGCCATTACTTTTAATGACAAAAACTGCCGTGACTTCTGCACCAACTTAACAGTATCTACATCTGGGGTTGTTCTGAGGCTTACATGTGTTAATGGTTAGCACTGAGAGCAGCATCTGGCATCTTGTAAGTGCTCAGTAAAAGTTATCATCACCATCAGCAGCAGCATCATATTCTCCCTCTAAAATGTGTGTCCACAAAAACAACACTTTGATTCCCCATTTAATCTTTCATCCCAAGGGGCCATGGCAAGTTGCTGTAGGGATTAACAGTGGGAACACAAGGAATGATTAGGACTCCTTTCTAAAACTCCCACCCTTGCAAATAGTAGGAATAGCTCTCTGTGGAGTCTGTTTCCTGGCAGCCTCTTTAAGCTCAGCTGTTTTTAGCAGCTGAGAACTTGGAGAATTAAGAGTGTTCCAGAAGTGCTGTGACCTCAGCTTTGCTGCATCATTCCTTTGAGTGGGGTTAGGCTGGCGTGGCTGGTGAGGAGCTGTTGTCCCAAGGCTATGTAATTCTTGGTGTGGGGAAGAGTCATCATGTTTGGTTGATGGCAAATTATTGGGAATAAAGAAAACTCAGGTTTTCCAGCTAAGAAATACAGAATTTTGTGCAACTTGGAACCACAGTTATTTATTTCACAAACACTTTCAAAGCACTCTGTGCCAGGGGTGGTTCTGATTACTATGCATTAGGTTACTGTTATTATCCTCATTTTACAAATGAGGCAACAAAAGTAAAAAGGACACCCAGATGGGGACATGGCAGAGCCAGGCCTTGAACTCAAGGGGTTTGATTACCATCTGTATCAGTTCTCCAGGATAACTGGAGTTCTCCAGAAAAACAGAAAATCAGTTCTCCAGAAAAACAAAACCAATAGGATTGGTTTATGCAATTGGAGAGGCTGGCAAGTCCCATATCTGTAGGGAAGGCTGGCAGACCGGAAACTAGGCAGGAGCTCATGGTGCACTCTTTACTTAGAATTTCTTCTTTCTCAGGGAAAACTCAGTTTTTCTCTTAAGGCCTTTTAACTAATCATATGAGGCCCACCCACATTATCAAGGAAAAATCTCCTTTCCTTAAAGTCAACCACCCAGCCTGGGAAACATAGGGAAACTCCATCTCTACAAAAGTTAAAAAAAATTAGCCAGGTGGGGTGGCACATGCCTGTGGTCCCAGCTACTTGAGAGGGTGATGTCAGAGGATTGCTTGGGCCTTGGAGGTCAAGGCTGCAGTGAGCTGTGATTACACCACTGCACTTCAGCCTGAGCAACAGAGCAAGACTCTCTCAAAAATTAAAAAAAAAATAAAGTCAACTGATTATAGATGTTAACCACATCTACAAAATACCTTCACAGCAACATTTAGATGAATCTTTTATTGGATAATGGTACTATAGCCTAGCAAAGTTGACACAAAGAACTAACTAGGCCAGGCACAGTAGCTCACACCTGTAATCCCAGCATTTTGGGAGGTCGAGGCAGGAAGATCACTTGAGGTCAGGAGTTCGAGACCAGCCTGGTCAATATGGCGAAACCCTGTCTCTACTAAAAATACAAAAATTAGCCAGGCATGGTGGCATATACCTGTAGCCCCAGCTACTCAGGAGGCTGAAGCACAAGAATCACTTGAACTGGGAAGGTGGAGGTTGCAGTGAGCCAAGATCACACCATTGCACTGTAGCCTGGGTGACAGAGTAAGACTGTTTCAAAAAAACAAAAAACCACAACAACAAAAAAAGAAAGAAACCCTAACCATAAAAGGATCCATGCCTTTAAACAGTACCTCAAGCTGAGAACCTTATGAGTTGGGTGTGAGATTCACAGTTAACTAAATAATTTAGCAATAGGCTATCCCATTACAAAATGCTGCACCTTACCTTGTTTAAAATAGAATTTGGACCTCTTTTCTCGTCCAGGTGGCTTCTAGCCCAGAATATTGCTCAGAGTAACCATTCAACAGATAATATTGAAAGAATGACTGAATGGTTTTAGGTGATATTTTACA
This sequence comes from Homo sapiens, assembly GCF_000001405.40. Taxonomy (NCBI): domain Eukaryota; kingdom Metazoa; phylum Chordata; class Mammalia; order Primates; family Hominidae; genus Homo; species Homo sapiens. The sequence continues at coordinate 26,854,755 of NC_000002.12, forward strand.
GGATTTTCCAGCTACTGAGACCTCTGGCTCCCCATTTAAATTTTTTTTCTTTTTCTTTTTCTTTTTCTTTTCCTTTCTTTTTGAGATGGAGTCTTACTCTGTCGCCCATGCTGGAGTTCAGTGGTGCGATCTCTGCTCACTGCAACCTCTGCCTCCCGGTTCAAGCAATTCTCCTGCCTCAGCTTCCCGAGTAGCTGGAATTACAGGCATGCACCACCACACCCAGCTAATTTTTGTATTTTTAGTAGAGACGGGGTTTCACCATGTTGGCCAGGCTGGTCTGGAACTCTTGGCCTCAGGTGATCCGCCCGCCTCAGCTTCCCAAAGTGCTGGGATCACAGGCGTGAGCCACTGCGCCTGGCCTCCCTTTTAAATTAGAAATCATCTGGCCCATGCTGGGCGCGGTGGCTCATGCCTGAAATCCCAGCACTTTGGGAGCCTGAGGCGGGTGGGTCATAAAGTCAGGAGTTCGAGACCAGCCTGGTCAATATGGTGAAACCCCGTCTCTACTAAAAATACAAAAATTTAGCTGGGCGTGGTGGCAGGTGCCTGTAGTCCCAGCTACTCAGGAGGCTGAGGTAGAAGAATCGCTTGAACCCAGGAGGCAGAGGCTGCAGTGAGCCCAGATCGCGGCACTGCACTCCAGCCTGGGTGACAGAGCCAGACTCCATCTCAAAAAAAAAATCATCTGGCCCAAGTAAGATTGAGTTTTTGTGAATGACTAGATTCTTTTGGAAAGAAAGGAGAACTTCTGCATTCTGAATTGTGCACGTGTCACTCCCTACTACCTAACATCTGTCCACTTTCATTGGTTTGGCAAAGGGGTTGAGGTCTGTTGCTGCCTGGACTCCCTGTGAATGTGTGTCTCCCACATGTTAGTAGTGCCCGGTACTCAATCACACCATCTTTGTGTCACTCCAGTGTCCATTTCTAAGCTGCCCCTTTGTTGATTTCAAATCCGCCATGGGCTGACTCGAAATTCTCACGCCTTGGGTCTTTATTCTCCCTTCTTTTGTCTGGTCCTGTCCCTCCCTTTGTCCTTCTGCAGAGCAAGATCCACTATTGATACAGAAGCCGCCTCCTTTCTAATTTTTTACTTCGGATTTCTGACCTTGTAGATTGATATGTTTGTTCTGTTATAAAATTCAAAAACAACCCCCAATTTTTTCATTTAATATCTTTTTGCTCTTGTTTCCAGCATACGTGAAACACTTTCAACCTTAATGAAGTTACTTAAATTGTTTTAAGTTTGCCGTATTGTCAAGTGGCAATACACATACATGAAACAGTCACTTTTGGGGGGTACAGTGGCTGAGGGTGCATTTTAAAAAAAACTAGTAAAGTATAACAGATAAACTGAGAAGTGTACAAACCATAAGTGTATAGCTTGATGAGACATACCCATGTAATCTGCACCAAATTAAGAAACAGAAAATTGGAGTCTCTGAGCCTACTATGGCTCAGAAGCCTGCCTGATTCAAAATCTTATTATTTAAAAAAGGGAAAAAAAGAAAGAAACAGAATTATCAGTACTCAAGGAGAGTCTCTAGTTACTTAGTATTCTTCCTCCATATCCTGACTGCTTATACACAGATCAATCAGCTTTGCCTATTTTTGAATTTTTACAAATGGAATCATGTAGTGGATATTCTCTCACCAGGGGCTTCTTGTGCTCAAGGTTATATTTGCGAGATTTCTCTTACTGTTGTATCTAATTTGCTTATTTTTTTCATTGCTATATAGCATCCCATTGTATGTATGTACCAAATGTGTCAGTTATGTTGCTAATGGTATTTGGATAGTTTCCGGTTTGGGGCTTTCATGGACAGTGCTGCTGTGAACATTCTAGTAGGTGTTTCTGTTGGGTATATATATACCTAGGAGTGAAATTACTGGGTCAGGGATACACACATGTTCTGTTTTAGTAAATTGTGCCAAATGCTAAGATTAATGGAGAAATTAAAAAAAAAATCCTCTGAAGTATACAATGCAGCTGTTTAAACCAAAATCCTAAAGACTGGCACAATATTATGGCTGGATCAGAGGTTGACTTCCAACTCTTATTCTTCAGCAAAAAGTAGAACTTTAAGCTATATCTCTGACTCCACAGTAATCTATCAGTTAAAAAAATTATATATATTATATATACATATATAATATATGTAATAAATATTATATATGTATATATAATATATATTATACTAGTTTTCAAGAATTGTCCACAAATAACCAATTGATTGGCTGAAATGAACACTTTTAAACTAAGCGGTGTACGTCTACCTTAGTCTTGCTACTGCAGTTTTCTTAACTCATGTTTCTTGAGGAAAAGATGAAAATCATATTATAAATGCAACATTGGTCCAGATATCATTCCAGAGATGTCCTGACAGCCTTGGGCAAGATTAACAAGTGCTTTTTATTGTTAACTAATTTATATTTCTTGTATTGGGTCAAATAGCAATTTTGAATTGTGTGATTTCTGTGGCTTAAAAAAAGTCTCAGCCAGGCGTGGTGGCTCACGCCTGTAATCCCAGCACTTTTCGGGCACAAGGTGGACAGATCACCTGAGGTCAGGAGTTCGAGACCAGCCTGGCCAACATATAGCGAAACCCCGTCTCTACTAAAAAACACAAAACTTAGCTGGGCGTGGTGGTGCACACCAGTAGTTCCAGCTACTTGGGAAGCTGAGGCAGGAGAATCGCTTGAACCCGGGAGGTGGAGTTTGCAGTGAGCCGAGATTGCTCCACTGCCCTCCAGCCTGGGCGACAGAACAAGATTCTGTCTCAAAAAAAAAAAAGAAAAAAAATCCCACAAAAGTGTCAGCTTGGAATCACAGAGTTCAGATTTCTTATTTGGCCAGACAGGATATTGATTTCTAATAATGGCCAGAATTCTTATTTCTTATAATAATTTCAGATTTCCTATAATGGCCAGACAGGACACTGCCTTTTTTAAATTTAGAAATAGAATTATGACATGTATCTTATTTTCTGTAGGTTTCTGGAAAAACTTAAAATAGATGTGATTTTTACAGTTGGATTATAATGGAAAGAACCTCTGCAACTAATGAAAAAAGTAAAGATAAGGCACAACAATATGAGCACTAACCTTCAGCCTGTCGCATCTCATGTTCATGGCCAGTATCGTCATGTGGCCCAGGAGAGATGGCAGTGATGGGCATGGCCAGTGTGCATAAAGGACAGTGGTTGAGGCATAATTATAGGATGGTGGTAATGAAACACGAGCAGCCAGAGGAGCCTGCCAAGGCAGTCATGAACTCCTAACTTGGCTGGTTTTTGCCTTATGTGATCCATTCACAGCCCAAATTGTTCCTGAGAAAGATTTTTTTTAGCATGTGGTCTGCCATGTTTGGTATTTGTCTTTATACAAACAAGTGAATGAGATCAGACTTAACATTTTTTTTTTTTTTTTTTTGAGACGGAGTCTCTCTCTGTCACCCAGGCTGGAGTGCAGAGGCGCGATCTCGGCTCACTGCAAGCTCCGCCTCCTGGGTTCACACCATTCTCCTGCCTCAGCCTCCTGAGTAGCTGGGACTACAGGCACGCGCCACCAAGCCCGGCTAATTTTTTGTAGTTTTAGTAAAGACGGAGTTTCACCGTGTTAGCCAGGATGGTCTTGATCTCCTGACCTCGTGATCTGCCCGCCTCGGCCTCCCAAAGTGCTGGGATTACAGGCGTGAGCCACCGCACCCAGCCCAGACTTAACATTTCTTTAAAACCTCGACTTACTGCTTAAACTCTGAGTCCCTTAAGCACTTAAATATTTCATATTTCATATCTTTTATAATATAGGATTTAATTTTTTTTTTTTTTGGAGACAAGGTCTCACTCTGTCACCCAGGCTAGAGTGCAGTGGCATGATTGGGGCAGCCTCGATTTCCCAGGCTCAAGCAATCCTCTCACCTCACCCTCCCAAGTAGCTGGGACCACAGGTGCAGGTGGATGCCACCACACCCAGCTATTTTTTTTTTTTTTTTTCCGTAGAGATAGGGTCTCCCTATGTTGCCCAGGCTGGTCTTGAACTGCTGGTCTCAAGCAATCCCCCCGCCTTGGCCTCCTACAGTGCTGGGATTACAGACATCCACCACCACACCTGGCCTAATTTTGTACTTTAAAATATATAAATCTAATACTCCAATATTTAATCAATTATAAACCACCCATAGACAATTTTGTTTGCCTAGCTAATGTAATTTTGGCTGATTCCATTCAAGCCTTTGTCCATATGTTTACATAAATTTTTACAGAGTTGTTACCATGGCATGGAAATTATTTCATATTCTGTTCTTTCATCAAAACTTTTCCATGTCTCTATCTAATTTACAAATTGAAGCTTTTAAATGGCAGTCTTCAGTTCCGTTGGAATGTACTAGATTCCATTTTTTTAATTCATTTTGTTTTCATATGTTATTAGATTCTATTTATGCATTTACTTATTGATGAACATTAAGGTTATGTTCAAGTTTTTAATTATTTTAGATAGTACAACCACAAAAATCCTCATTCGTATCTTTGTGAACATCACATATATCATTTTCATACCTAGCTGATAATATGTTTTTGAGAATAGAGATTGTGTTTTTTTTTTTTCCAAATGTTTTTGGCATAGGGGGTACAATTCTATCTATAGTACCTGATAGTTTTCACATTAAGAGAAATGTATAAATACCTGTTAATTCCTTTATTTCAGGACCAACTTCACAAAGTTTCCTGATCAGCAAATACTTTCTAATCAGCCTTAATTGGCAAGTTGGTCATTGAAGAATTTGTGTGAAAGTAGGAATAAAATTGTGTGAGCTACTCAGTCATTAACAGGAATAATTTGGAGGACAAAAGATTCCAAGTGAAGCTGATTTTTATCAATTAATTCTATAAAATTGTGCTGTCTCAGTGGCAGATAGCACCTGATGTTGGCCATTATGACAGAAATTAAATGGTCTTGGTGTTGCAGAGAGATGATTCGGTTATGAGACGCACCCATTGCTAAGTTTGAGTATCTGGTAACAGAGTGCAAATAGCCAGAAATGGAAATGAATGTTAGTGCTGCCTGGCAAGGGAGAGAGAGGTTTACTGTCTGATAACTGTGCACTTAACTTGCCTTGGGCTGTTGTTTGAGATGGGCTTGAACCTCCTCTCAGACCTGCACCTATTTCCTGAGTGCCTGCAACGGGCAGTGCGATTTCCAGGAAGGAGCTAGTGCATGGGAGAGAAATGGGGTTGGAATCCTGACTGTTACTTCCTAGGCACGAGAGATCTTGGGTAAAGTCATTTTATCTCCTCAAGCCTCAGTTTCCTTGTGAACTAAAGGGATGCTAATATCGTCCTCACAGGCTTCTAGAGGACTAAAGTGAAAACGTGCACTGAGTCTGGTGGGAGTGTGGTAAGTGCTAAGTGGAGCTAATGGTATTGTCCAGATGCTAAATTAGGTGCTTTGTGACATATAAATGTATATAAAAACAATCAAAGGGACATGATTGTCAAATGGACACAGGCTGGACAATATGACAATTGGAGAATGTAAACTTCTCCCTCACATAAGGAGAAGTTTAGCACAACGCCTCTCCCCTCCTGTGTCTGTCAAATGAGAAGATGCAGACTGGATGCTGTCCTGACTGCTTTGATGTCCTGTGACAGACACCCTGTGTTGCTGCTGAGCTGTCACAATTCTTCATTGGTGAAAACTGGCAGATTTGCAGTTTGACACTATCTATCAAAATTAAAACTGCACATTCCTTTTAACCCAGCAGTACCACTGCTAGCAATTTTTCCTAAAGATATACAAGCACATGTGCTTGATGAAAAATAGGAAGGGCTGTTATTGCAGCACTATTTGTACTAGGAAAAAATTAGACATGACCTATCATTGGAGAATGAATGGAATGCACTATGACACGTCCTTACAAAGGAATACCATACAGCCATTACAAAGAATAAGGCAGGTATTTCTGTTCTGATGTAGAACAATCTCTAATATATATCATTGAATGGGAGGAAAACAATGCAGAACAATATTTAATGCGTGCCACCCTTTCTGTAATACATTATGTAATGTGAAATATATACTTAAATATGCATAGACCATCCATGGAAGGAAACACAACAAAACCTATGATGTTGCTTGTCTCTGGAGGGGTCAGGGAGGAGCTGGGAAAACTCACAATTTACATGGCTTTAAATGTTTATCATGTCTATGTTTTACCTGTCTAAACAGTAATAATAATTTGTCACCCGTGGCTGGCTCTGGCTCACCCTGTCAGAGACTCAACAAGACTTGAGGAGGGTGAAGTTCTTGGGCCCATGTGGATGGCTTATGTTCCCAAACGGACCCCCAGATGCAGGCCTCCGAAATAAGACACAAGCATACAGAGTTGGGCTTTCAGGCTTACTGAACAGACAGACTGTGTTTTTTTGACTGCCCATTCAAACAAGAAAGGCTCTGAGATCAGGAAGTAGGTATGACCCATTATTGCTGACTATCAAATAGCTTTTCCAATATTTCCCCTTTGAGTCTTTTTTATTCAGAGGAAAACTTGGTTGGAACTGTAGGACACAGAAGATGAGAAGCACTAACTGGGCATTGTGAACCTTCCCACAGGTTCACAATGTGTGTGATGTGTGTGTCTGCTCATCCCTTCATCCCTTCCTTCAGGCAGCAAGTGCTTGATGAATACCTGCACTGGGCCAGGTGTCATCATAGGATATTGGGTCTAAAAGAACTTTAGAGAACGTTTAGTCATTTCACAGAGGAGGAACCCACAGGGCACTTTAGCTTTCAGTGAGTGGTATCGGTGCAGAGAGAATGGTGATTTTTGCCTTCTTTGGTCTCGGATGATGGGTTAGGAAGCCTCTGGATGCTCCTATAGAATTGGCTTCCTCATGTAGAGCATTCATTTCATTTTGCCTTGTGTTTCAATTACTTGTGGACATGTTTTCTCTCTAAGGACGTGAAGACAGATTCATGCCATCCCCCGGCCATGATCTCTAACTCCTGGTGTTCACACTCTTATGTAATCCTCTATCTTTGAATGTGGCAGGACCTGTGACCTGCTTCTAACTAATAGGATACAACAGGGGTGATGGGAATGTCCTTTCCCTTATTATGTTATATAATACCTTATCTTGCTAGCAAACTCCTTTTGGAGACTCTTTTTGCTTGATGAAGTAAGTGGCTATTTTGGGAAAGCCCACTTGGCAAGAAATTGGTGGCTTCTAGGAGCTGAGGGTGTCCTCTAGCTGAGAGCCTGCAACCATGTGGAAATGAATTCTGCCAACAATGTGACTGAGTGTGGAAATAAGTTCTCCCCCAGGCAGGTCTCCAGATGAAAACATAGCTCATCCAGCATCTTGATTGCAGCCTTGTGAGGCTCTAAGCAGAGGACCCAGGGCTCCTGACCCACAGAGTGTGAGGAAATAAGCTTGTGTTGTTTTAAGCCACTAAATTTGTGATCATTTGTTACACAGCATAGAAAACTAATACAGGGCTCTCTTGTGGCACTTGGCGCAAGGCCCCTCAGCAAGTTGGTTATCAATGAATATGTTGAGCTGAATTTATTTCTCTTTCTTTTCGTGAATGTATCTCACAATAATTGCCTGAAGTGCTCTCACTTGGGTGGTCATATAATTTATATTTCAAAGCAGAGCACTTTGGAGAGTGATTATTATTTGCTATTAATGATCTACTTGGGTCTATAGGGATAAACTGGGTCTATGCCAGGCATACTGGGAGGTATGGTCCCCCAAGCTATGATAATCTCATCATTTATTGTCCACGTTTTCCTGGCTCATTTTGCCCCAGGAAGCCATTGCATGTTTGTTGATTATTTTTCTTCTGGGTCTGCACTCTTCCTTCCCCCTCCCCATCCCTACCTGCTCCCTGGCTTCTGCCTGGATGTTGGCAGAGAGCCGCTGTGTGCCTGACTGTGACAAGGCTGGTGGAAGTCACCGGGATGCCAGGCACATCCAGCCTCTGTGTGGAGGTCCAGCAGAGTGGGGCAGCTGTATTGACTAAGTTGGTGGGAAGGGAGGCTGGGACGGAGCTGTGCAGAGGAATTTACTAGAAGCAGTTGCAGGAGTGATCAGCACCCCATTACATGGCCATTTTCAATGTGTACAGCCTATTCCAGAAGCTGTTTCTGCCTGCCCCTGGTGTTTTTGTTGGGTTTTGTTCAGGTGGAGGGGAGGGGACTTGTTGAGGTGCCCTCCCCTTGGAATCCCCTTTTTGGAATAGACCCTGTAGCATCTGACACATGCACTCTGAGGGCCTCTCTCCAACACAGCGGGAGGAGAGGCTCCCTTTCCCCCACCACCCACCTCCATAATTATCTTCCTCAGAATCCATATGGGGAGCCCAGTCCCTTCCCACATGTCACCAGAATGTCCCTTCACTTTTTCACTGAGCCAACCACTTGCATTGCCCCTGGCCCACCCCTTCCTCCAATGTTCAGCTGTGTGGAGCCATACTAGCCCTGGCACTCTTGGCCACAGCTCTGACATGGGCCCCAGGCCATTGGCATCCTCCCCCTTTAAGCTGGCTCAGTTTCAGCTGCTGACCAGGAGTGTGGGACAGTCTTGACCTGCCCCCCAGGCATGTACCTATTTTCTTGACTTGTGGACCAGGCTGGAGTTTCCATTCCTTTCCTATCACTGCTTCTCAAATCTTGCCCAGAATGGTAAAGGAAAAGGAGCTCATACCCCTGGGAGCTTGTGGGCTGGGCCTGCAGCACCCTGGTACAAGTTGGAAATATCTTTGAAGCCTGCTTGAACAGCTTTATTGAGTATTGAGATACAACTTTCATACCATAGAGTTCACCCATACTAAGTGTGCAATGCAATGGTTTCTAGTGTGTTCACAGAGTTGTGTAGTCATCACCATAGTCTAAATTTACCACATTTTTGCCACCCCAAAAGAAACTCCATACGCATTAGCAGTCACTCTCTGTTTCTTCCACTACCATCTCTTCCCCAACCCTCCAGCCCCTGGCAACCACTAATCTACGTATTGTCTCTAGGGATTGGCTGATTCTAAACATTTCATATACATAGAATCGTACAATATGTGGCCTTTTGTGACTGTTGAAGCCACATTTTTTAATCTTAAGAAAATTAATGCACTGTCTGCACTCTAGTTCACAGTATTTCCTTTTCGTTTTAATAGATACAAGGAATTTCAGAAATTACATATAGTTAGACCGGGTGCAGTGGCTCACACTTGTAATCATAGCACTTTGAGAGGCCAAGGTGGGTGGATCATTAGAGCCCAGGAGTTTGAGACCAGCCTGGACAACATGACAAAACCCTATCTCTTTCAAAAAAATACAAAAATTAGCCAAGTGTAGTGGTGCGCGCCTGTAGTCCCAGCTACTTGGGAAGCTAAGGTGGAAGGATCACTTGAGGCCTGGAGGCGGAGGTTTCAGTGGGCCCAGATCGCTCCACTGCACTCCAGCCTGGGCAATGAATCCAGACCCTGTCTCATAAAAGAAAAGAAATTACACACAGTTTAAATGTTTAGCCCCACAAGAGTGCTCCAGGAAGAAAGAAGTGCCTTACTCATGCCACACCCCTGGGGCCCCAGTCTGAAAGGGGCTATGCCTCAACAATGCTGACAGCATCCAGATGGCTTTCCATCCAGAGCAGGTGCAGATCCCAAAGTAGGATTATTTGAGTAGATGATGGGAAAGGTGGGGAAGATGATTAACATTCTCTAAGCATCTGCCACTAGCCAGGCACCATCTAAGTACCACGGAAAGGAAAAGGTGGATGGAGGTGCTGGTCTTGAAGAAGTCTCAGTCACTTTCTGGGTGTAGATTGTGCAACTGTCAGTAAAGTGACAGAGAATGACTAACGTGAACCATCCTGGCCATTAGGATGCAGCAGAGATCTTCACTGATGAGTGTTGGACTGGATTTGGGAAGAAGACGCTAGGCAGAGGGATGAGTGTGAAGCTGCAGGAAGGGCCAGGCACTTGGAGAGGGACCTACTTGGCTGGCCTGTGAGAGCAGGGAGGCTTGGGCAGCAGGGGAGAGGGGGACAGACGCCCAAGGTGGCCGGGGTCAACTAAGCACATCCGTACTCCCCTGTTTCCACCTCTTCCTGACTCTTCGCCTTTGGGGTCTATGTGCTGAGGGGAGTCCAAGGCTGCTGGTCTAAAGAAGGGGGCCCAAGAGGGTCAGAAATGAGGAGACCTTGTCTTCATCTACATCCGTTCACAGACCCCCTCGTTGCCCTGAGCCTCCAGACCACCCTCAGCAATTTTTCTTTCCTAATTAAAATCAGTGACAATACAATGATGAGTTTTGAAAATACATTTAGTGTTTCTGTATATTTAAATAAGAAAACTGTGTGCATAAATGCAATGTGTTTTTTTCCTCCTTCTGATTTTGTATTAAAATAACATCTCTTGTTCCTTCTTTCTTTGGAAACCTTTGTTCACATCCTTCATGCTCCAAATAGCCAACAAATAGCACAGAAAGCATGGTCTTTCCTCCTAACTGTAGAGTCCTCTGTTCTTTGTTAAGATGTGGAGATAGGGTTTTGTGTTCTTTTTTTTTTTTTTTTTTTTTTTTTTAAGACGAAGTCTTGCTCTGTCACCCAGGCTGGAGTGCAGTGGCGCGATCTCAGCTCACTGCAACCTCCGCCTCCCAGGTTCAAGCAATTCTCCTGCCTCAGCCTCCCGAGTAGCTGGGATTACAGGCATGCACCACCACGCCCAGCTAATTTTTTGTGTAGAGACAGGGTTTCACCATATTGACCAGGACGGTCTTGATCTCCTGACCTCGTGATCCTTCCGTCTTGGCCTCCCAAGGTGCTAGTATTACAAGAATGAGCCACCACACCTGGCCTGTGTCCATTTTTAAATGCATGGTGAGCTTGAAGTCATCAGAGCCCACTTTATTGTATAAACATTTTATCATAATAGGTGTGGCCCATTAGAAAGACCTTATGGGTGAAGAGAGAGTCAAAAGGCTGGAAAAGATAGCTCATGGCTTTTTTGTGTGTGCTTTAAACTCCTCAGTTGTAAGCAATGAATTGGGACATTTACAGAGACCTATGCCAAGTATCAACACAGATGTCAACACAGATATCTGTAACACACAGCCCTTGCCCCCCACCAGCAATTACAGACTAAAATCTAACAGATAGAGACCTGCAGTTCTTGAAGGCAAGGATTCTGTAACACTCATTTTGAACCCCACCATCAGGGACAGTGAGGGGCACCCGGTGGGTGTTTGTCTGCATGGTGAGTGAAGTGACATATGAGTTGGCCAGATGAAGGATAAATGCCCTGTGAACAGCATAGCCCCTAAATGAGAATTCAGAGTAAAGGCAGGAAAGAGAATGTCTAGGAGTTAAGCCTGGGTTTAGAGCTTGCCCTTCCACACTTACTAATAATCTGTGTGATATCAAGCAAATTACCTAACGCTTCTGAACCCCACTGGCCTCATTCACTGCAGTGTTGCTGTGAGGATAAGAAATGAAATACATAAAACATCTAGTCCTGTGCATGACACATAATAGAGGCTCAGTAAATTTGACTGGGTGAGTATAGTTTTCCCCTGATTTTATTAACAATACATATTCACTGTGGAAAATGTAAATGATATCGTAAGGAAGAAAACAAGACACCTGAAATCCCACAACCCTAAAATAGCCACCATTAGCAGTTTGGTGACCACCTTTCATGCATCTCATTATGCAAACACACACACACACACACACACACACAATGTTCATTGTAATTGTTATTTTTTCTTTCTTTGTTAAAAAATGAGGCTTAGAAGAATTGTAATGTTCCCAATACAAAGAAAAGATAAAGTTTGAGGTGATGGATATCCCAATTACCCTGATTTGATCATTACACATTATATACATACATCATAATATCACATGAACCCCCCAAATATGTACAACTATGATATATCCATAAAAGTAATAATAAAATAAACTTAAAAATTCTTCTTCTTTTTTTTTTTTTTTTTGAGACAGAGTCTCACTCTGTTGCCCAGGCTGGAGTGCAGTGGCATGATCTCGGCTCACTGCAACCTCCGTCTCCCGGGTTCAAGTGATTCTCCTGCCTCAGCCTCCTCAGTAGCTGAGATTACAGGTGTGTGCCACCACGCCCAGCTAATTCTTTTGTATTTTTAGTAGAGACGGGGTTTCACCATGTTGGCCAGGCTGGTCTCGAACTCCTGACCTCAAATGATTCGCATGCCTCGGCCTCCCAAAATGCTGGGATTACAGGTGTGAGCCACCGAGCCTGGACTAAAAATTAATGAGACTCTTTGTCTCATCATCTCCTACTAAACACCACCCGTTCACCCTTAGGTAACCAACATAAACTGGGGTGTTTCCACCCACAGTTTACCCTATACACATCAATGTATATAAATATATGTACATAGGTAAATATCTTTTGTCCTTGTTCATCTTAACTAAATGGGATCCGATTTAACGTTATGTCTGTGTGTGGGTGTCCAGGGTACATGCATTGGATTTACATTTTGGTAAAATACATCATCTCTGCAATTTTCCTTATCACTAATCTTGGAAGAGACTGTAGGCCAACTGATATAAATCTTTTTAAAATTGCATAATATCCCATGGCATGGATAATGCTACAATTTAGTCTGCCATTCTCTATTGATGGACATTCGGTTTGTTCCCAATTGTTTGTTTTTTTTTTTGTTTGTTTTTTTTTTTTTTGAGACGGAGTCTCGCTCTGTCGCCCAGGCTGGAGTGCGGTGGCGGGATCTCGGCTCACTGCAAGCTCCGCCTCCCGGGTTCACGCCATTCTCCTGCCTCAGCCTCCCAAGTAGCTGGGACTACAGGCGCCCGCCACTACGCCCGGCTAATTTTTTGTATTTTTAGTAGAGACGGGGTTTCACCGTTTTAGCCGGGATGGTCTCGATCTCCTGACCTCGTGATCCGCCCGCCTCGGCCTCCCAAAGTGCTGGGATTACAGGCGTGAGCCACCGCGCCCGGCCCCCAATTGTTTGTTTTTGCCCTGCCAACAGTGCTGCAGTGGACAGCTTGGTGCCTGTCTCCTCATGTTCTGTTGTTTTTATTTCTATGGAGAGAGTCCTAGGGGTGAGGTGCTGGGTCAGAGGTCCTTTTACAATGTTAATAGAGCCTTTTCAGACTTTTTCAGAAGGGTGCAATAATTCACGTTTCCACCAGCCATGTATGGATTCTCCTCACCACCACTCCCAATTTGCACCCCTCCTCCCACAAGACCTGCCAATGACAAGGTATCACGCTTGAATTTTTGCCATCTGATGGATGTAAAGTGATACCTCATTGTTACTTCCTGTATTTGCATTTCCTTGACTACTGCAGAGGCTGAACATCATCTCATATGTTGTTGGTTATTTAGCTTTGTTCTTCTGTGTATCACTTACTGATGTCCTATGCCCATCTTTCTCTTGGTTGTTTGTCTTTTTCCAATCAATATGTTAAGAGCTCCTTGCTGTCATATGCGCTGCACATGTTTTCTCAGACTCTTTATCATTTATCTATTGATTTATTTCTATAGTATCTTTCATTTCTTGATAAAAATTTAAACATTTTTATCAAGTCGGAATTGTGTCTTTGTGTGTGTGTGTGGCCTCTGAGTTTGCAGACTGAGTTAAAAGCGATCCCCTACTCCTTGGTGGTACGCAGTCTCCCAGGTTGTCTTCTAGTCTTTTTATTGTTTTATGTTTTACATTTAAATAAATTCCAGATGGATTACAGATTTTGATATATGCTGTAAGGTAGGGAGCCAATTTAATTTTCTTCCAGATGAATAACCAGTTGTGCCCACATCATTCATTGCATAAGTCATTTTCCCCACTGAATTGAAATATCACTTCTGTTGGATTTAATTGAAATCTGCTACCAAGCACTCTATTCTGCTCTCCTTATCTGTTGATACCATACAGTTTTAACTACGGTGATTTCATAGAGCATATTGTAATATCTACTAAGGAAGCCCTTCATCTTCCCCACACTATTCCTTTTTATAATTTTCTCAACTCCTCTCAATTCCATTATTATCTATTTCAAAAGAAACACATTGGGTATTCACTTCTATATACTAATTTGGAGAAAATTGACATTTTACGATATTATGTCTTCCTGTCTAAGCATATATTTGTTTCATTCTGCTTGGATCCTATTTTTTATACTTTGAGAAGTTCTTTAGGATTCTATGCCTTTCTTGGTTTGTTTTTTGAGACAGGGTCTTGCTGTCTTGCCCAGGCCGAAGTGTAGTAGCGCAGTCACAGCTCACTGCAGCCTCAACCTCCTGGGCTCAAGCGATCCTCCTACCTCAGCCTCCTGAGTAGCTGGGACTATGGGTGCACGCCACCATGCCTAGCTAATTTTTGTATTTTTTGAAGAGACAGGGTTTCACCATGTTGCCCAGGTGGATTTCGAGCTCCTAGGCTCAAGAAATCCACCCACCTTGGCCTCCCAAAGTGATGTGATTACAGGCGTGAGCCACTATGCATGGCCAGCCTTTCTTAGTTTTCTTTCTTTTTTGTTTGTAAAGCTGTATTGAGGTGTAATTTACATACTATAACATTACTTGCTTTAAGTGTATAATTTGCCGATGATTAGATTTTTACAGTTGTGTAACCATCATATAGTCTAATTTTAGAAAATGTCCATCACCCCACACAGACACTTTGAGGCCATTTGCAGACACTCCCCATTCCCACCCCCAGCCCTAGGCAGCCACTGCTCAAAATAGATCAAAATAGAGAAAATACTCTATATATAGATATTCCCTTTCTGCGTCATTCTTAGTGTTTTATTCTTTACAATGTTTTTCACTGTTGTGAATAGAACATTTTTTCCTCCTATTTCTTGCTAGCTGTTTGCTATAAAAAATACTGATTTTGTTATATTTATCTTATAATCCATTATCTTACCACTTTTCTTAGGTTTTCTTATTATACAACTATAACATAATGTATCGGCCGGACGCGGTGGCTCACACCTGTAATCCCAGCACTTTGGGAGGCTGAGGTGGGCGGATCACGAAGTCAGGAGATCGAGACCATCCTGGCTAACACGGTGAAATGCCGTCTCTACTAAAAATACAAAAAATCAGCCGGGCGTGGTCACAGGCGCCTGTAGTCCCAGCTACTTGGGAGGCTGAGGTAGGAGAATTGCTTGAACCTGGGAGGCGGAGGTTGCAGTGAGCTGAGATCGCGCCACTGCACTCCAGCCTGGGTGACAGAGCAAGACTTCGTCTCAAAACAAACAAACAAAAACATAATGTATCTTCTTTTTCCATGTTTATTCTGAGGATTAATTTTCTATCTTACTGCGTTTTCTGGCAACTTGTAAAATTGTTTAATAATAGAGGTCAGGGGAGGCATCCATGTTCTGTTCCTAATTATAATGACTGACTTTTGTGCTTTACTCATTAGAATGATATTTGCTGTTGGTTTTTGGTAACGTGTCTTTATTACACTTGAGTCGTTTTGTCCTGTTCCATGGTTCTTAGAATTTTTATTGGGAATGGCATTTCATCAGATGTCTTCAACTTTTATTTATTTTGATTGGTTTTTCTCCGTTGATTTGTGGATGTAAAGAATGATGCTGCTAACTTCCATGATGAATTGTCCTTGGCTTATGGAATAAACCCAGACAGGTCAAACTGTATTATCCTTTTGGTACACTGCAAATTGTTTACAACTGTAGTTTGTGTCTTTTGTATCTATGTTCATGAGGTTTGTCCAAGGGCTTACTATTTTAGTACTACCATTATTAGGCTTTGATATTAGGGTTATATTGGTTTTATAAAATGAATTGGCCATGCACATGGCTGTAATCCCAGCACTTTGGGAGGCTGAAGGATTGCTTGGAGCCCAGGAGGTTGAGGCTGCAGTGAGCTATGATCCGCCACTGCACTCCAGCCTGAGCGACATAGTAAGAAAGACTCTGTCTCAAAAAAAAAAAAAAAAAAATTAAAATGAGTTCAGGAGCTTGTCATCAAACTGTCATTTTTTGACAACTCTTGATGGACTGGCAGAGGCAGGGAAAGTCAAAACAACAAGGTTGAGAGGTAGCTATCCTTCCATTCTGTTTGTCTTTTAAG
Source organism: Homo sapiens (assembly GCF_000001405.40). Lineage (NCBI taxonomy): Eukaryota > Metazoa > Chordata > Mammalia > Primates > Hominidae > Homo > Homo sapiens. The sequence goes on from NC_000002.12 coordinate 26,870,859, forward strand.
CCTGCTGTGTAGTAGTTAATAGTTAATACATTTCCTTAATTATTGGCTAGAGCTGCTCTACACATTGACTTAACCACTAGCCACATGTCTGTTTAAATTAAAATGAAATAAAATTTAAAATTCAGTTCCTCAGTCATACGAACCACCTTTCAGGTGCCCAGTAGCCACATGTAGCTAGTAGCTGCCACGCTAAACAACAAATCAGGGGTCAGCAGACCATGTTCAGTGGAGTTCTTGTACGGCCTGGTGAGCTAAGAATGGTTGTCACCATTTTAAGAGATTACTTTAAAAAAAATGTGACAGAGCCTGTGACTGTGGCCCCCAGAGCTTAACCTATTCACTCTCTGGCCTTTTACAGAAAAAATCTGGTGGTCCCTGATTGAGAACATTGTCTCCTAACTTGAGTTGCTTACTTATCCCTTCCCATCATTTTTATAATGGAACACCATCTGTATGACTGTTTACCTAATATTTTTCTTTAAATAGATTTACTTAAATTTTTGAAAGAAACATTATATCAGCATCATAAATAGAAATATTTACTTACTTTTTTAACTTAAATTTTTGAAAGAAAGATTACATTATTATTATTATTATTGTTTGAGATGGAGTCTTGCTCTGTCGCCCAGGTTGGAGTGCAGTGGTGCCATCTTGGCTCACTGCAGCCTCTGCCTCTCAGGTTCAAGCAGTTCTCTGCCTCAGCCTCCCGAGTAGCTGGGATTACAGTTGCGCACCACCACACCCAGCTAATTTTTGTATTTTTAGTAGAGACGGGCTTCACCATGTTGGCTGGGCTGGTCTTGAACTCCTGGCTTCAAGTGATCCACCCGCCTCGGCCTTCCAAAGTGCTGGGATTACAGATGTGAGCCACCACACCCAGCCAGAAACATTACTTAATTTTTTGAAAGAAACATTATTTCTTACATTTTTACTTGAAGTTTTGAAATTTACTTAAATTTATTTTACTTAAATTTTTGAAAGAAACATTATATCAACATCGTAAATAGAAACATTTGCCATAAATAGATAACTAGAAAAATAAATACAATGAAAGCCAACAGTATTATTAAATTCCAATTACAAACTAGACCTTGGTCTTTCCTTTGCTAAAAAGACAGATTAGTAAGTATGAAGTATTAGAAGATACACACCCACCAGCTGAGATATTTTCCTTGATGTAATCAGACATGTAGAAAGAGAACTGGAAAGGGAACTGCCTCCTCACTCATAATTCAGTGTCATTTAAGTCCGGGCACGTGTACCTCCTGAAATCACTTGTACACGTGTTCTAAACTTTGGAGCACTGGGCTGAGGAGAGAGGAGAGCAGGGAGCATGAGTCTGGCTCAGATGATGGCTGGAGTTGCGGGTGCCTAAGTAGGGCAACAGTAGTTAGACACCTTCCTTACCACTGCCAGCTAAAGGATGCACAAGACATCATTTGAATTCTCTTTGTTGTGAAGGTTAGAGCACCAGATGTAAATTTATAATTGGACTCTGTCATTCCACAGAACACTCCACAGAAGTGTCATCACTAAGTAAAAAAGTTAATGGGCCAGGCGCGGTGGCTCACGCCTCTAATCCCAGCACTTTGAGAGGCCGAGGTGGGCGGATCACGAGGGCAGGAGTTCAAGAACAGCCTGCCCAACATGGTGAAACCCCGTCTCTACTAAAAATACAAAATTCAGCTGGGTGTGGTGGTGCGTGCCTGTAATCCCAGCTACTCAGGAGGCTGAGGCATGAGAATTGCTTGAACCCAGGAGGCGGAGGTTGCAGTGAGCCAAGATCATGCCACTGTACTCCAGCCTGGCAGAGCGTGACTCTGTCTCAAAAAAAAAAAAATTAATAATATTTTCCCAGCTTTTATTGATGTTTACTCTATATTAAAAATGGCGTGAGCCAAGATCATGCAACTGCACTCCAGCCTGGGCAACAGCGAGACTCTGTCTCAAAAAAATAAAAAAACAAAAAACGGCCGTTGGAAAAATATTTCCGTACCTTCTGCAAAACTGCAGTCAAATATATATTTATTTTCCTTAAATAGTGATTCCATAAATTCCTTCTAGAATTTTTATTTACATGTAGAACAGACTTACTATCTCTAAAATATTTAGACTGAAACCTCTTTTTAATGTTTCCTGGTGGGTGAATCAGAGCCTTCCTTTAATCCAACAAGGGTTTCCCTTTCCTAAACCATTTCCCCTTTTGTTTGAACTGCTAGGAAGCTTAGTGCTAAATGCAATTCCTACTATATTATATGTTTTTTTACTTCTTTTCAACAATCCACTTTTAAATGCATTTTTGTTGTTTTTAAATCAACATTGTTGAGGTATAATTTATATACAATAAACACAACAATTTTTTGATGTATATTTCAGAGTTTTGACATTTTTATTTGCCTATGTAATCACTACCACAATCAAGATATGGAATATTTCTATTATCCCAAAAAGTGCCTCTTTCTAGTCAATCCCCCTTCCTCTCCACCACCACCTCCGCTCGTGCTCCCCCTCACCCCCCTGGCAATCAGTGATCTACTGTCCCTATAGATCAGTGCCTCTCAGGCGACATATAGCAATGTCTGGAGACATTTTTGGTTGTCACAACTGGGCAGGTACTACTGGTATGTAGTGGGGAGAGGCCAGGAATGCTGTTAAACATCTACAGTGCACTGGATAGCTCCCAGGACAAAATATTAACTGGCCAAAAACTTCAATAGTGCCAAGATTGAGGAACCCTGCTATAGATACAGTTGGGGTATGCAAATGATGGTCTGCAGGCGAAATCCAGGCTTGTCACCTGTTTCTGTATGGTGCATAAGCTACACATGGTTTTCACATGTTTAAATGGTTGAACAAATCAAAAGAAAAAGAATATCTCCTGACAAATATTCTGTTACATCTATAAATGGATTAGACGATGTCCACCCACACTGGTGAGGGGTGGATCTTCTTTACTCGGTCTACTGACTCAACTGCTAATCTCTTCCAGAAACACCCTCACAGACACACTCAGAAAAAATGTGTCTTAACAGCTATCTGGGCATCCCTTAGCCCAGACAAATTGACACATAAAATTAACCATTATACACCATTCTACTGGGCATAGAGTGGTATTTCATTGTGGTTTTAATTTGCATTTCCCTGATAACCAATTATGTTGAGCATTTTTTTTATGTGCTTATTTACTACTTGTATCTTTTTTGTAGATACAAATAGTGTCTCTTCAAGTGTCTCTTCAAATCTTTTGCTCATTTTTTTAATTGCATTGTATTATTGAGTTGTAAGAATTATCTTTATATTCTGGATATAAGTCCTTTATCAGATCTATGTGTTGCAAATGTTTTATCCCAGTCTATGGCTTGCTTTTTCATTTTCTTAACAGGATCTTATGAAGAACACAAGTTTTAAATTTCGATAAAAGTTTCATTTAACAATTTTATCTTTTAGGGTTCATGCTTTTTATGTCCTAACCCAAGATCCTAAAGACTTTCTCCTATATTTTTTCCTAGGAGTTCATAGGTTAGCATCTATGATTAGGTCTATGATCCATTTAAGTCCACTTTTTTCCCCAAATGGATATCCATTTGTTCTAGCATCATTTGTTGAAAGACTACTCTTTCCCGCATTGAATTACCTTGGTACGTTTGTCAAAAATCAAATGATCATATATATATGTAGGTCTATTTCTAGAATCTCTATTCTGTATCATCCACATATTCATCTATCTTACAGCAATACCACACTGTCTTGATAACTGTAGCTTTACAGTATGTCTTGAAATAAGGTTTTAAAAAAGCAGGAGGTGTCTGACTTCATGTGGCATTTTCCAGGTGTCCCAGGAGGCCCAGCCTTTGCAGGGAGACCTGCGTTCTGGGAGGTGGTGAGAGGTGTGGCTGCTGATCTCTGGGTTTGATTGATTCCACCTTTGTTCTTTTCCAAAATTGGTTTGCCTGTTCTAGGTCGTACATATTTTATATAAATTTAATATGAGCTTATCAATATCCACAAAAAGGCCTATTAGGATTTTGATTGAGGGTGTGTTGAATCTGTAGATCAGATTGGAAAGAATGGACATCTTAACAATATCTGTTCTTGCAATCTAGAAACATGATATATTACATTTATTTAGTTCTCTAATTTCTTTCAACAATGTTGTAGAGTTTTCATTGTACAAGTTTTGCACCTATTTTGTTAAATTCATCCTGTTTTCTAATCCCTTTATAAATGAGATAAATATGTTTTAATATTATAAGCTGCTTCATTCCTCCAGTTCTCAGAAAAGCAACGGATCACTTGATTAACTGCAACAGAATAAGGCAGATTGGGAAGGAACTAGGACTGGAGTGGGTGGAGGGTGGTGAAGGGACAGCTCATCACAGACACTGGAGAACCTGCATTCCAGTGGGCGAAATACCCATGACGGCAGAGACAGCAGCCATTGGGTAACCCAAGTGGGCATGTGGGGTGAAAACAGGCAGGAGAGCACAGTGGTGGGAGTGCAGGCACAGGTAGTGTGGGGAAGCAAGCAGCTGGTGTCAGAAGAGTGTGCCAACAGGTGGGGGACCACAGGTGGGCAGGCCTTGACTCCCTGAGGAAGGTGATGGGCAACCACAAAGAAGGGTGTGTCAGCCTACTGGGAAAGAGATATGAGGCCCTTTGCACACAGGCTTGGGCTCAGGGAGTCAGTATCTGGCGTGGAGTCCTGGGCCTGCCCTCAGCAACAGAGGAGTTGGAGCTTAGAGTCAGGGCTTGTCCACTGTCAGGCATCCCAACCTGGAGGCTCAGTATGTTGGACTCTACACCTGCCTTCTGGGTTTGGTTCTTGGCCTGGGCTGGTGGTGGCTGGGGGTGGGAAAGAGGCTACCAGGGACTAGGAACCAAGGAGATCTGGCCAGCCTTTCAGGGAATAGATGGGGGATAAATTGTATGTCCTTATAAAAATAATTTGGGTGTCTGTCATCAGTTCCAATTCCACCTCTCCTAGCAAGAGCAGGTAAACATGAAAAAGAGGAAATGCTGGCATTCCAGATGAATTAGACGGGCAGGCAACCCAAATTCTATTACTCCCATTTACTTGCTTTCAAGAGATGTAGACGTATTCATCTCTTTTATCGGTAGGTATGCAGCAGGTGCTCCACAGTCAAGCATCAATCTCAGAGGAAAGGCCCATTTCCTCTTTTTCTTTAGGTGAATGAATTTATCTGCACTTTTTCAGACTCAACCATCAGGAAAAGCCTTTTGAACCCCAAATAATCATTTGCTTCATGTTTCCATTCATTCATCAAAGGAAGGTAGCAGCCAAGTAGGCCAGGTTACAGAGGGTGTTCTGCTCCCATTTTGTAGCCATTTGAGAAGATGCTGCCTTGTCCAGGGCCCTGGTGAACAGAATGGAGGAAGGGGGCCATTGACTACCCCTCCTGGAGGTAGCCCCATCACTTGCACTCTTCAGTGAAGATGATGCCCTCACTGGGTGCGTCCCAGTGCACGGTGGAGTGGGGGTGCCTCTCACTGAGATGGGGGCCACTGGAGGACGAACCTGGTGGAGATAGAGCATGATAAGCTTGGTTTTAGATGGGATGGGTTAGAAGGGCCAGCAAGATATCAAAGTAGAGAGATCCAATTGGCTGTAGATGTCCAGATTAATGGTTTTGGGGTTTGTTTTTGTTTTTGTTTTTTGAGACAGAGTTTTGCTCGTCACCCAGGCTGGAGCGCAATGGTATGATCTTGGCTCACTGCAGCCTCCATCTCCCAGGTTCAAGAGATTCTCCTGCCTCCGCCTCCCGAGTACCTGGGAGTACAGGTGCCTGCCACCACGCCTGGCTAACTTTTGTATTTTTAGTGGAGACAGGGTTTCACCCTATTGGCCAGGCTGGTCTCGAACTCCTGACCTCAGGTGATCCGCCCACCTCGGCCTCCCAAAGCGCTGGTATTACAGGCGTGAGCCACCGCGCCCGGCCATGATGTCCAGATTAATGGTTGTTAAAGAAATATACAAGAGATGTTAGCTTGCTAGTGGCTTTGCCTGACCTGGCACAAACATCCTCAGAGTGTAGTCCGGTGTAACTACCCCATTCACCAGTGCTGTTACTGATTCCACAGCCACTTTTTTTTTTTTTTTTTTTTTTGAGAACGAAGTCTCGCTCTTGTCCCCTGGCTGGAGTGCAATGGCGTGATCTTGGCTCCCTGCAACCTCCGCCTCCCAGGTTCAAGCGATTCTCTTGCCTCAGCCTCCCGAGTAGCTGGGATTATAGGCGCCTGCCACCAAGCCCGGCTAATTTTTGTATTTTTAGTAGAAACGGGGTTTCACCATGTTGGCCAGGCTGGCTGGAACTCCTGACCTCAGGTGATCTGCCGGCCTCCGCCTCCCAAAGTGCTGGGATTACAGGCATGAGCCACCGCGCCTGGCCCATAGCCACTTTATTATAACAATATTTTTATTTCTATTTATTTATTTATTTTTTTAAGGCCAAGGAATTAAGTGACTGTATTTAGAACAGAAGGTATTCCATGAATAACATCAAAACAATGTGGACACTAAGAGAATACATGTAACTCATGGATGCAGGGGACGCACATTGTCTGCATTCCTGTTTTCTGTGCCTACTACATGTGCTCCACCCCACACCTGCTGAGTACATGCTGGGAAGATCATGTCAACCCTTGGAGCAGCTAGTGTTTAATCATCTCCTGCTAGCGCCTCATGTTTTACATTTTGGCACTGTCATGCAGATACTCCCCTTTCCCCCTAAATAAGACACTGTCACACAATATCTTTTAACTCATCTGTATTTGTATAACAATATTTTTAAAATTATATAGTACCAAGAGATTGAGTTCCACTGTAATTCTCCTGTGGGAAAACTGCAGTTAATAGTTTCATATATATATGAAATCTCACTCATATAAATACACATATAGATAAACATACCTTGGGTTCTGGTTTTGTCCTGTAAACTACTTTCTTCACTCATAACCTCCCATGTCAATACTTAGAGATCTACAGAATCCTTTTCAATGGCTGCACAGCCCTCTATTGTGTGAATATACCATTATTTATTTAAACAGTCCTCCTATTGTCAGACTTTAAGCTGGATCTCAAAATATTTGTTATTATAAACAACAGTGTTACCAAACACCCTCGTACTACATCTTTGTACAACTGTTCAATTATTTCCTTAGGAGGAATTCTTAGACATGAAATGCACATTTTAAGTTTTCATGCAGATGTTCAGATTTCCTTCTGGTGAGAACATACTAATTTGAACCCTGTTAACAACATATAAGAATGCGTGCTTTTTACATTTGCTTTGGACATTGTTCTGTGTGCTATTATGAATAGTGAAAAATGTAATCTCATTGTTTTCATTTGCATTTATTTAATTATTAATAAAGGTGAACATCTTTTCATTTGCCTATTAGCTATTTATGTCCCTCCTCCCCTTGTGGGTTACCTATTCTTATCCTTTGCCTATTTTTTTATTGTAGTATTTTTTTGTCTTTTAGGATTTAGAAGCGCTATTACATATAAATATTAATCCTTGGTTATATGATACACACCTGTCATACCAGTTTTTATTTGTCTTTATTAAAAGTAATTTGTGGTATCTTTTGCTGTATCATAATTTTTCACTATTGTATAGTCTAAATTACTCTGATTTTTTATGGTTTCCGGCTTTGGATTATGATAAAAAGAAAAGCCTAACTCAATCAAAGGTTATAAACATATCCTTCTATGTTTTTTTCTAGCATTTTATACTTTTCTCTCCTTTTCTAATGTAGAATGCAAATGTACTGATGCTACTTCTTTGCTTGCCATGCTAGCCAGCCCTGCCACTGCACTCAGCATCTTGTCCATACTCTTGGCACGCCATGTCCCACCAGGCCTTGAAGGATTCAGCCGCTGTCCACTTTCCACCCTCATGCATCCAATGCACCAGCCATCCTGAGTGCACCAAGCTAGCTTGCGCCACACAGCTTCTGTCTGGAACATCCTTGCCTGACTTCTTCCTTGACCCCTGGTGAACTCCTAAGCAACCATCCAGACTCACCTCCAAGGCACTTGTGAGAAGCAGTCCTCCAGCCCAGTCAGTGTGAAGTGCTTCCCCACCCTTTCTGGTACCGGCAGCCCTTCCAGCTCCTTGTCTCCTATTGAAATGTTGGTTGATGCATATCCTTCCACTACCAACTTGTGAGCTCCATGAGAGTTGGTTGAGTATCTGGCACCCAGTACAGTAACCCTGCCTCCATGATCTGATTTGCATTTTAGCAAGCTCAATCTGCTAATAGTGTGGAGGCCGGGGACCAACCAGAAGTATCCATGTAATGGTGAGGTCATAGTCCAGTAAATGATAAGGGCCTGACTTCAGCAATGGGTTTGGAGAAAGAGGACAGAGGAGAAATTGATTTAGTAGGTAGAACCAACAGTGTTTTGTTTGAGAAGTTTCCTGGACATTCAATACATGAGAAAATAAAAACATTAGCCCAGTGCATGGTGGCTCATGACTGTAATCCCAGCACTTTGGGAGCCTGAGGTGGGCAGATCACTTGAGGCCAGGAGTTTGAGACCAGCCTGGACAGCATAGCAAAACCCTATCTCTATTTGAAAAAAAAAAAAAAAAAAAAAGCCCATTAGCATGGTCCAGACCTTTTGATTGTTTGGAATTACGTCTGCTTCTCTTCTCTTGTGACTTGGCCTAGTTATCACCTCCACGTCATTATCTATCAAGTGAAGTTAGCATATGGACCTCCAAGGCCAGCTGTGCAGTGATTTCCGTGTGTGACGAGCTCTCCCAGCCCCGGACACATGCAGTCAGTGAGTGCTGGTTCTCTGCTCTCCTCCACCTCATTACCTTGGGTGGTGGGGTCAGTTGCCATCTTCCAACTGATCTAAAGGATTCCTAGAGAGAGATGGTGAAATCAGCTCTTATTATTGTGTTTCCACAAACCACAGATGTGCCCTGGACAGCTAGTCCCTGCCTAGACACCTGTCCACACCTGCTTTCTGCTCTGCTCACCTATGCTGCCACTCGTTTGTTGTTGTTGTTGTTGTTGAGACAGGGTCTCACTCTGTTGCCCAGGCTGGAGTGCAGTGGCATGATCATGGCTCACTGCAGCCTCGACCTCCCAGGCTCAAGTGATCCTCCTGCCTCAGCCTCCTGAGCAGCTGGGTCTACAGGCACGCACCACCACACCCAGCTAACTTTTGATTTTTTGTAGAGACAGAGTCTCACTACGCTGCCCAGGCTGGTCTCAAACTTCTGGTCTCAAGTGATCCTCCTGCCTCAGCCTCCCCAAGTGCTGGGATTACAGGCAGAGCCATCACTGTGCCAGGCCCATGCTGCCACTGCTAGTGTCATTCCCACTCTGTTTTCCTTTCCCTCCAGGGAACCTCCCAGCATTCAGCCCTTTCTCAGCTCTGCTCCTTCCTTTTCTGTTCTGTGGGCACCACCCAGTTAACCCACTGCACCCCCATGCCTGGCTTGGCATAATCACTGCCCTCCCTGTCTCCAGTCAACCCAGGCCAGGGTAAGGAAGCAGAAAGGCCAGTCCCCAACTCACAGTTGCATCCTATGACCACACTTGGATCCTGCTCCCGCTGTGCCAGGGCACCCTGGGAGCCATGTGTCTCATTCAGAGCCTCGACCTCTTGCTCTGCACCCCTGATTTATGTTCTGTCTCTCCAAGCTGCATCCTCATCCCAGCTTCCTCTCTCAGCCCCAAGGTAGCCAGTCTGTCTGCCATTCTCAGCCCACCCTTGCCTACCTCCGCCTCCCCTCTTTTCTCCATGCCAGAGAACACCTGCTTTGCTCCTCTCCCCCAGCCCTTGACCAAACACCCACAACCAGCACAGAACTCTCTTTTGAGAAGACTTCTTTCCCATCACTCACAGCTCAGAGTCCGTTCCTGTGGCTGACGCTGTAAATGCAAGCTGCTTTCTCACCGCCATCTCCGTGGTTCTTACAACTTCCCCAACCCAAGCCTTCTTTCAGCCAACATTGAATGAGTCCCCTCTATGTGCCAAACCCTCAGAGGACAAAATAAGGCATAGGCTTGGCTTTCAAAAAGCTTCAGTCTGTTGGGCATGAATTCCAACCCACAGTTTTCTCAGCCATAACGTGGGGATAATAATGTTTCATTTCCTCACAGGGCTGCTGTAAGATTGCTAGGAAATCGTGTGTGAGCTCTTGAGATGATGTGGTGCTGATGGTGTTGACACCTACTTGACAGCTGGGAAAACGGGCCTGGGAGGACGTGCCCATAGTCGCATGGCACAGCCAAGGTCACTGCCCTCACCTGTGCTCACCCTGCGGCCCACCCCATTTCCTCCTCACCTCCCCTCTGTGCCCGTCTCATCCTCACTCACTCCCATTCATTTCCCTCTAAAACAGGGCCCTGAAATCCAGATGCGATCAGCCTAGTGGTATCACTGCCCCAGAAGAAGGGAAGTTGGTCATTTTCACCCCCAGACGTTTCTGTAAGCCTCCTGAGAGTGCCCACTGGCCTGCCACCCCTGTGGCACAGTGCTTCCTGCCTGCCCCCGGGAGTCTCAGGATCAAGGTCACAGTGGCTCACCCACCTTGCTGCTCATCTCCTCAAAGCTGGGTTCCATTAGTCATGAATTTCCATGGGCACTGATGAGATTTGCTTCTCAGGCTTAGGAATTCTGGACTGGTGTAAAAATGTCTGTCTCAGTGATGGAGGTGTCAGGTCCGTAAGAAAGACAGCCGGCAGGAGCAGGCACAGGAGGAAGGCTGCTTTTGATTGGGCAGAAGCATTATTGGCTTAAAGTCAGAGGCAGGTAAAGCAACTTCTTTTGGGAGAGAGAGCCTGGGAACACATTTTAAGTACAAGTATCTGGTGCCTCTTTGAAGGGGTCTTACGACTCAGAAATAAAGGGAATGCCTTGTACCCTTTTGAAATCTTGTTTAATTTCAAGAGTTGAAATAAAGGAAGCCAGGCACGGTGGCTCACACCTGTAATCCCAGCACTTTGGGAGGCCGAGGCAGGTGGATCACGAGGTCAGGAGATCAAGACCATCCTGGCTAACACGGTGAAACCCCATCTCTACTAAAAATACAAAAAATTACCTGGGCATGGTGGTGGGCACCTGCAGTCTCAGCTACTCGGGAGGCTGAGGCAGGAGAATGGCGTGAACGCGGGAGGCAGAGCTTGCAGTGAGCCGAGATCACACCACTGCACTCCAGCCTGGGTGATAGAGCGAGACTCCATCTCAAAAAAAAAAAAAAAAAAAAAAGAAAGAAAGGAAATTGGTTTGTCCCAGACAAGGGCAGGACTTCCTGAAAATAAGAGGGAAAGTTTTCCACCTTATTTCAATTTTTTTTCAAACAATATAAAAGTACTTGCATGATTTTAAAGTACAATATTTACTTATTTATTTATTCATTGAGACAAGGTCTCACTCTGTCACCCAGGCTGGAGTTCAGTGGCATGATCACAGCTCACTGCAGTCCCGACCTCCTTGGCTCAAGCAATCCTCCTGCCTTAGCCTTCTGACTAGCTGGGACTACAGGCGCACACCACCATGCCCAGCTTATTGTGTGTGTGTGTGTCTGTGTGTGTGTGTGTGTGTGTGTGTGTATGTGTGTGTAGACAGGGTGTCACTATGTTGCCCAGGCTGTTCTCAAACTCCTAGGCAATTGCTCAAGCAATACTCCTGCCTCAGCCTCCCAAAGTGCTGAGATTACAGGCATAAGCACCACGCCCAGCACAATATTTATTTTTAATTATAAGAGCAATGTTGGCAGAGAGTGGTGGCTCATGCCTATAATCCCAGCACTTTGGGAGGCCAAGGTGGGTGGATCACTTGAGGTCAGGAGTTCAAGACTAGCCTGGGCAACATGGTGAAACCCCATCTCTACTAAAAATACAAAAATTATTTTGTAAATTAGCCAGAGGTGGTGGGGTGCACCTATAATTCCAGCTACTCAGGAGGCTGAGGTGGGAGAATCACTTGAACCCAGGAGGCAGAGGTTGCAGTGAGCCGATCGTGCCACTGCACTCCAGCCTGGGTGACAGAGCGAGACTATCTTAAAAAAAAAAAAAAAAAAAAAGCAATGTAACATATAGAAAGTCTGGAAAATTAGGGGGGCAGAAATCCCTTGTTATCCCACAACAGAAACTATTGTTTATTCTCTTCTGATCTGCTTTGAGTCCATATTTTGATTGTAAGCATATTTGACATGTATTTGTATGTTTTTTTAAAGTTTTAAATGTTTGATGAGATATATACAGAAACATGCAGAAAATATATGTGCAGTTTAAAGAATAATTAATAGCAAATGCCTTCATAATTCCCACCATGTAAGAAGCTCCCCCTACCATGGGCCCCTCCCTCCCTGCCAGATAGATAACCACTGCCAGAGCAATAACCCCTATCTTGAGTTTTCTGATTATCATTTCCTTGTTTTTGTTTTGCCATGGTTTTAGCACTAGATGCCTACGTACTATAATTCCCATTTGCCTGTTTTTGATGGTTATGTGAATGGAATCATACCGTATTTGCTCTTATTGTTTGTTTGTTTGTTTTTGTTTGTTTTTGAGGCAGAGTCTCACTCTGTCACTCAGGCTGGAGCACAGTGGTGCGATCTTGGCTCACTGCAACCTCCGATCCCCGGGTTCAAGCAATTCTCCCACCTCAGCCTTCCAAATAGCTGGGATTACAGGCACGCACCATCATGCCTGGCTAATTTTTGTATTTTTAGTAGAGATGGGGTTTCACCATGTTGGCCAGGCTGGTCTTGAACCCCTGACCTCAAGTGATCCACCCACTTCAGCCTCCCAAAGTGCTGAGATTACAGGCATGAGCCACTGCACCCAGCCTCATATTTACTCTGTTATGTCTGCTCCTTCCCCTCAACTATTGTTTGCAAGATGCTGTATATGGCTGTAGTCAGTTCATACTAATTTTCAGCTTAAAAGAGAAGAAAGTAGTTTTATATTCTCATTCAATTTCTACCCTGAATCTAGGTTTCATCAGGTAGCCCGGGTTTGTGGTCCTTTCATGGTTAAGAAAATACATCCTTTCCTCCTGTTTTCCCCAGCCCACACCTGAGGTCTCCAGCTGAGAAGAGCCCCCGCCCCGTTTCCTGGCAGTGGGTGTGAGCCCTCTTCCAGCATTTGGCCCTTGTTCTAGGAAGCAGCCACTCCAGGAGCTGCTGGAGACCCTTGAGCTGCAGCTGCCATCCTTCCAGGGGAGATGATGGAATTATTTCTGGGGCCTGGAGACAGCTGGCAAGAGCACGGGAAGCACAGCAGGGCTGAGTTATCTGCCAGGAGTCGGTGCCGGGTGGGCGAGGTGCTGGTGGTGGTGTGGTGCCTCCTCTGGTCACAGACGCTTGTCCTTCCCCAGCTAAAGCCCCAATCGGGAGTCAGGAGTCCTTGTCTCCCATGTGTACACCTGTCTGTCCTTCTTCCAGGACCTGCGGGAGCTGGGCTTATGGAAGTGGGATTTACTCACACTTACTTTTGAGGGTCCTCAGCCTGCCCAGGCCTCAAGTAATGAAGCCTCCTGGCCTCAGGGAGTCAGCCAACACTTACAAGGAGCCAGGCTTCAGCTTGAACGCCCAAGACTGGTGCTGTGCACACTTGGGCTGGGAGGTGCACGTGAACACACATCAACGCACAGCTAAGCTTGTCCTATCTCACACACACACACACACACACACACACACACACACTCAGCTCTGGCTTCTGACAACTGCCCCTTAGCTCTTCTGTGCCTTTGAACTAATCTCACTGAACAAGTGGTCAGCAGCTCCCATTTCTTACCACCCTCTCACAGCTAATCCTTTGCAATGTAGCTTTTGCCCTCTGCACACTGATGGTCCTTGTTCATTAAGTCCAGCCACGTGGGGCCGGGCCAACTCAGATGAACTCATGGGATTAAAACCTCTTACTTGATCTTAGCCTGTTAAGAAATCATCCCTGTGGATTTATATACACCTTCCCAGAAGCTATTTGTTTCATTCAACTCCTGCTTGCTTGGGGCCCAAGCTTGATCTGTACTTGTGTCAGTTTCTTTTAAAAACCGTCTCAGGAGGCCGGGCATGGTGGCTCATGCCTGTAATCCCAGCACTTTGGGAGGCTGAGGCAGGCGGATCACCTGAAGTCAGGAGTTAAGAGACCAGCCTGACCCACATGGTGAAACCCCATCTCTATTAAAAATACAAAATCAGCTGGGCGTGGTGGCAGGTACCTGTAATCCCAGCTACTCGGGAGGCTGAGGCAGGGGAATTGCTTGAACCTGGGAGGTGGAGGTTGCAGTGAGCTCGGATCGTGCCATTGCACTCCAGCCTGGGTGACAGAGCAAGACTCTGTCTCAAAAAACAAAACAAAATAAAAAAAAACCTGTCTCAGGAGCAAGCCCTTGTTAACCATATTCACACCCATGACGCTGGCCAATGCAGATGGTATTTCCCTCCCCGTACCCACTCCTGCACTCGGAAGAGGATGTTCTGGTGCTGGGCTCTTACCTATAGTCTTGCCCACTCCCTGACCTACTTGTTCCGATTCTACCTTCTCTCCAGTGCAGTGACAAAGGTGGTAGCAGTTTTCCAGATGTGGATGCTTCATGATCTGGTGCAGATGGTCCCCAGGTACAAACGCCCCAGTCCAGCCCTCCCCCAAAATGGCACCTGCCATCTATAGGCTTGATCCTGCCCCGCCCCTGGGTTAATGGAAAAAGGGCCTGGTGGGACATTCAGAGACCTCCTCACTAGCCAATTTGGTATGGAAATATGTTTGTGGCTGTGGACAAGGACCCAGGGTGTCTCATGGTGGATGTAACATTAGACAGAGACTCTCTCTAGCCTCTGACTGCTCTGCCTGATCAGTCCTTCCTGTGCCAGTCCCAGGCCATTCAGGTTCTCCACTAGCCTTTGGAGATGGCTGAGGCCCAGATGGAAGAAAGGGGACCTGCCCTTCTGCTCTCCTCAGTTCCTTGCCCCAGGGTTGGGTTCTACTTCCAGAATCCCTCAAAACATTTTGCACAAAACTCCCAGGTAATCCAAATCAGGACCACCTCTCAGAGCAGTCTTCCTGGATGTCGACCCTGGCCTGGGTTGGATAGGAATCTGGGAAGAGTCTGAGGTTTCTGGATGGGGTGACTGGGGACAGGGGAGTTGGTTTTGGACAGGTTGAGTGTGTGCTGCCTGTGGAACCCAGTAGAATGGTCCAGTGGGCATTCGGATGGTATTAAAATGCTCCCGCTCCCTCATTAGCTAGACTTTCAGTTTCCTGTTTGCTTCAGAAAGTAGAGAACTGGGGGTTGTGAAAAGCTCAGTCACTGAGCAGGTAAAGTTTGATTGGATGTCGGGAGAAGTAGTCACGGAGTGGAAACAGCTGTGACCTTTTCTTTTTTGCTTGTCACCTAATTGCTATTAGTCATTAATTCATATAAACTAGATACCTTTGAGAAGTAGGACATGGTCAGATGAATGAGGTGTGGAGACTTAAACAGTAATGACATGCTGAGTTCACAGGTCTCTGTGTCATTATGACCTGCCTTACATGTAGGTCATAAATATTTTATTTCTGTCTAAATAAATTATAAAAAATGCACTTAATGATATTAAGCTGCAGCTACTTACCTGAAAAGGAACAAAATATCGCCTCTGAAGTAACTACTAATTATACAATTTTGCAAACTAATAAATATTATTTTAAATCTACTCAATAGTTGATAAATCAATTATGAATTAATCATAAAATTATTCTGTGCTTTAATATTAGTTAAGTTTTTACTGTTTACTACTTAGCCATTTAGTTTTTTAAACTTAAATTTATTAACTTAAACCCTCAGCATTTCCCACTCATCTCAAACTCCCCTTTGGTTTTTGTGTTCTGTTGAACCTTTGATTTGGCATGTTTCAACTCAAAGAGAATCCCTTCCCTGAGTGACCCCAGGGTGCCTTATGTGCCAGCATCCTCCACAACTCCATTTTAAGAATGGCTCTCCCATTGAGAAGGCTGCAAAATGCCAGCCTACTCTTTCTCTCTCCTTTGTGCTGATCAGAAGAAAAATAGCCATAGGTTTCCATTTTCCTTTCCACACAACTGTCGTGTATTGCCTTTTGATCCTTTAGCAAATGTTACCTGCTTGGAGCAAGGGAAAATCATGCCAGCCCGCCTGTATCCTCTGTGACCTGAGCTGACCTCACCTGCCCCTTGAGGTGCTACCCAGGTTGCCATTAGGCTTGGCTTAGATGCCACAGATCCTTCATGTCACATGACAGTGTTTTTGATATAACAGTCTTGTGTGTTTTTGATATCACAGTGACCAGTTATCTGTAAAATCATACGTTTTTCTGTGGATTCTATCAAAAGAGGAAATGTGAGTCTTAAACTAATGCTTTCTAAAAAGAGGAAATGCATGTCTGAAACCAATACCTTCCAAGTTCCCTTTAAGGTCTTTATGCAGGAAGGGTCCCCCTTGCACCATCCTGGCCCCAAGTTCCTGTGCCAAGCTCCAGAGGCCCCCAGCATCCTCCAGCTGAGTTGTTGGCAGGGGCAGCCGTGCAGGCCAGACTGTGCAGGCTCTCCTTGTCTCACACCTCCCCGCAGGCCCAGGGGAGCTGGGGAAGGCGATGACAGAAGCAGGCAATTCCAAAACACAGTGTTGGGCTTGGCATTTCTTTGGCAGGACTAAAACTGTGTACCTTATAGGAGTGTATGGTGTGTGCATTTCATGATCAAGAAGCAGCAGCTGCCATAACTTTGTCCACTCAGCAAGATGCTTCCTATGCAGTTCTGCATTGGAACTACTCCACAAAAGTAAAAATGGGGGGCATGGAAGGAAGGATTTTTCTGTTTTCCCACAAGACAGTGGTTGGATAGCAATAATTGTTACTATTTTAAACATGGAGAGGCTTTCTCATGAAAGACTGCACTCCCTAGTTACAGTATTGTCCCCTCCCCACCATCCCACTTCCACCCCAAGTTCTCTATCCCAGCTTGCACATCACCTTAACGCGAACCCATGAATGGTTCAGGAACATAATGCCACAGGATCAGAATCCTCTTGGAGGAGACAAGCTGTGTATAACTGGATAAATCTAGGATTCGGGATATCCAAAGATAGCCACCATCTTGCTGTGGAAGGCATCATTACTTCCCTGAATAAACTGTAAACATCATAAGATCCCTGTGCTTGCAGTGTGACACCTTCCCTTTAGTCCTGGGCTGGTTCCCTTCAGTTCAAGGTCACTGTTGACAAAGTCCAGGGATTGGAGTGAAAATTGGAAGTAAACTTAATAGTCTATGCAGCTCTAGAATTCCATACTTCTGATTCTTTCTTTCTCTTTCTTTCTTTTTCCTTCCTTCCTTCCCTTTCTTTTCTTTCTTTCTTTCTTTCTTTCTTTCTTTCTTTCTTTCTTTCTTTCTTTCTTTCTGTCTTTCTTTCTGTCTTTCTTTCTTTCTTTCATCTCTGTCTCCCAGGCTGGAGTGCAGTAGTAGTGCAATCTGGGCCCACTGCAATCTCTGCCTCCCAGGTTCAAGTGATTCTCCTTCCTCAGCCTCCCGAGTAGCTGGGATTACAGGTGCGTGGCACCATGCCCAGCTAATTTTTGTATTTTTGGTAGGGACGGGGGTTTCACTATATTATCCAGGATGGTCTCAAATTTCTGACCTCAGGTGATCCACCCACCTCGACCTCCCAAAGTGCTGGGATTACAGGTGTGAGCGAGCCACCGTGCTCAGCCACGATTTATTCTTTCTAATGGCATTTAACTGTCTGGATTTTTTCCCATTCTGCCTGAGATGACAGACACATGTTTTTGAATTCTGTTGTTTGCATAGATAAAATAACTGGATGATCAAAGTTTTTGGCGAAACATATGGGCATATGGGATATAGCCAGAAGTCTTTAAAGGAGGTGACATTTATTTTAAGGCCCAGTTGTTACTTACATTGCTCATTTCTGTCTAGTGTGATGTCTTAGTTTAGGCTGCTTTAACAAAACTACCGTAGACTGGGTGGTTTAAACAACAGAAATTTATTCCTCACAGTTCTGAAGGCTGGGAAGTCCAAGATCAAGTTGAAGCTGAGGGTTGCTGTTGAGGGCTCTCTTCCCGGCTTACAGATGGACGCCTTCTTGCTATGCCCTCACATGTCAGAGAGAGAGATATCTCTCTCCTGTCTCTTCTTCTAAGGACACTATTCCCATTCATGAGGGTTCACAAAGGCCTCCCAAAGGCCCCACCTCCAAATACTGTCACACAGGAGATTAGGCTTCGACATATGAATGGGACACAAACATTCCATTCATTGCATGTAGTGAGCCAGAGGGCCAGATATTGACTCTGTCTGCTACACAATTATTGTGTTTTGGAATAAACTAGGTGACTTGAAGCATCAACAATCGGTAAAACTAATGCTGGCCTTCTGGAGAGCTTATACTTCTTTTTTTTTTTTGAGACGGAGTCTTGCTCTGTTGCCCAGGCTGGAGTGCAGTGGTGCGATCTCAGCTCACTGCAAGCGCTGCCTCCCGGGTTCACGCCATTCTCCTGCCTCAGCCTCCCGAGTAGCTGGGACTACAGGCGCCAGCCACCACGCCCGGCTAATTTTTTTGTATTTTTAGTAGACACACAGTTTCATCGTGTTAGCCAGGATGGTCTCAATCTCCTGACCTCATGATCCACCTGCCTCAGCCTCCCAAAGTGCTGGGATTACAGGCGTGAGCCACCGCGCCCGGCCTGGAGAGCTTATACTTCTTTCTGACCACAACCTCTGACAAGAATGTTACCTGGATTTACTGCCTCAATTGGAGCAGAGGGAAGAGAGTCCCTTTATGGTGCTTAAGAACCTGCATAGCGTAGGGAAAAAAAAAAAAAGCCTGTATCACAACAATTGCCCTCAAATCTCTTCCCTTCTGGGCGACTTTCCTGAGAGGTCCAGAGTATCCACCCCACTCACCCACCCTCTGCCTGACTCCTTCACTATGTTCATACACATGTGCACACACAGACAGCCTGTGCTGCAGAGACAGACCAGCAACGTCCTCCCTTTGTTGAGTTCAGCAAAGACTAGCAGGGAAAGCTGTAAGAATAAGGTGCTAATGAGGTTACTGGGGAAGGTGAGCAGCATGATGAGTGTCCACAGTCCACAGCGAGGCGGGATTGGACGGGGTTAGCATCTTGGGGACTTAGGCTACTTGGAAGGGTAGGAATGTTTGGGAAGGATACTGGTGCAATAGGCTTCCTACCATCACCATGCAGCTAGTCTTACCCATTCCAGCTCTGGTCTCTGTAACATGGGGAAAGATACCCAGTTTAGACCAGTATCTGTCAAGTTCACTGTTAGGTCTTTAGGCAAGAAGTGTCCCCTTTACACTTCAGTCACCTATTAAAGCAATTATTTGCATCTCTCTTGCTCCGCAGACTGAGTTTCTTAAGAGCAGGGCCTGTGGTTTTTTCAGAGTTGTCTCCAGTGGAAAGGAGTGAAGTTATAGAACACTTTAGTGCACACAAATGTCCTAAACTTTTAAGATTTTAAAAATTTAAAAAAGATATTCTCCAAAAGCACCCTGGGTAGGGAGCATGTTAGGCAACTGTGCTACGATATTATCCAAACAAGCCAGTGCGGGCTTAGAGGTCCCAAGACCTTGGGAACCCTGAGGCTGAAGCCCTGCAGGCTGCTCCGACAGCAGCCCACGTGGAAAGCTGGAATTCAGCACAATTGGGCCTGGAGGCTGGGCCATCACTCACACTGCGGTGTCTCTACTGAGCTGCTTTAGATCTGGGGTCCAGCTCACCCCTCCTTCTGTATGGCTCAAGGCTAGATGCTTGTATTAGTCTGCTCAGGCTGTCATAACAAAATACCACAGACTGGGTGGCTTAAACTACAGGAATTTATTTTCTCACAGTTCTGGAGGCTGGAAGTCCAAGATCAGGGTGCAGGCGGGTCGGGTTGTGGTGAGCTCTCTCCTCCCGGCTGGTCAATAGCTGCCTTCTCACTGTGTCCTCACACGGCCTTTCTTCTGTTCCTGTGCCTGAGAGAGAAAGCGAGCTCTCTGGTGTCTCCTAACCAGGACACTAATCCTAGCAGATCACGGCCCTGCCCTATGACCTCATTTAACCCTTAAAACTTTCTAAGAGGCCCCATCTCCAAATACAGCCACACTGGGGTTAAGGCTTCAGCATATGAATTAGAGGGGACACATACATCTAGTCCATAATAACTCTAGAGACGAACTGTCTGGCTTTCAATCTCTGCTCTGTTACAAACTAGTTGTGGGACCTTAAGGACGTTCTTTTAACTTTTCTAAGCTTCAGGTTCTTCTTGGTAAAAATGGGGGCAATGATGGTACCTATCTCCAGGCATTGTAAGGATTAAATCAGATGATGCACACAATGGGCATAGCGAAGGGCCCAGTATATAGTCAGTGTCTAGTAATTATTAGTTAGCATTATTAATAGAGTCCTTTAAGTTCTGAGAATGAGTTTTCTAGATGGTAGTCCTAGGAGAGCAGTCTATCCTGGATTTCCAGGACCAGCCCAGGCCTGCGTGAATGGGATTCCTGGGCCAGAGAGGTTCCAGGGCTCCCCAGTGTTCTGCAAGGGAGCCAAGCCTCTTCAGAGCCTCGTTAGCCTCCGGAGACTTCCAACTAGGAAGTGGAAAAAAATAGGCCGAGGTGGTGGCAGCCCAAGGGTTCTAGAGAAGGGGAGTAGTCAGCCCCATCTATTCCTCCCTCACCCATCTCCTTTCAAAAAGGATGGCAGAGGGAGGAACTGAGCCAGCTGGGTCTGAATGAAGGGTCACGTTGGATTCCTTCTGGCTTCTTTTTAGTTAATAAATAAATAAATAACTTTTTTTTTTTAGACAGAGTCTCGCTCTGTTGCCCAGGCTGGAGTATAGTGGCATGATCTTGGCTCACTGCAACATTTGCCTCCTTGGTTCAAGTAATTCTTCTGCCTCAGTTTCCTGAGTAGCTGGGACCACAGGCATGCACTACCACGCCCAGCTAATTTTTGTAATTTTAGTAGAGATGGAGTTTTATCATGTTGGCCAAGCTGGTCTCGAACTCCTGACCTCAAGTGATCCGCCGGCCTCAGCCTCCCAAAGTGCTGGGATTACAGGCATGAGCCACTGAGCCTGGCCTAAAAAAAGGCTTTTGAACATATATTTTCAGATTATATGTTCCTCCTCCAATTTATTATGTAAAATTTGAAAAATACAGAAACCTGTGAAGGACATAAAACTCACCTGGAAACCTTCTACCCAGAGTTAATTCCCTTAAGTCAGATAGACCTAAATCTGAAGCCCATCCCTCCCCCTGGATTTTTATGACCTTTAATGGGCTACTTGTTATTTTCAAAACCTCTGTTTATTCCTTAAAGTGAGGCTAACACTTCCTGCCTTGTTCCCACTTTGTGGAGGTTGCTGTGTGAATGCATGTAAAGTGCCAGGCACAGGGTGTTTATTTACTGAGAGCTCTTACTTCTATTGAAGATGATGTCCTTGGCTTTCGATTCTAGCATCAAAGCTCAGACAAGAATTCTCAGTAAGCTATTATCACAGTGCTCTTTCAGGTTCTCCAACCTCCAAGCATGTGTTACGAGCATGTAAGCAAACCCATCTTGTCATTTATAACATTGACATAACGATTATGCAGCAATTTTTCCAGCATAAGTATTCCTAGTTTTCCTCTTACCTTAAAGCTGCTTTAAAAGGTGAGGATTAAGCCAGACATGGTGGCATGCACCTGTAGTCTCAGTTACTCAAGAGGCTGAAGCTGGAGGATTGCTTGAGCCCAGGAGTTCAAGTTCAGCCTGGGCAATGACATAGAGAACTAAAAAAAAAAAACAAAAACAAAAAAACAAACAAAAACAAAAAACAATTTAAGGTGAGGATTATATCTTTGCATAGAGCATTGGGTTTGTTTGAGAGAGAGAGAGAGAGAGAGAGAGAGAGAGAGAGAGAATGCATCTCAGACTTCTGGGCTTCCTGTGGCCAGAGTGGCTCTATCCACCACCTAAGAACCAAAGCCATTTTCTTATTATTGCATATGAAATTAAAACTCCAGTTTTTAGGTTTTAGGACAAAAGATCCCTTGACATGTGTTCAGCTTCACCCCAGCTCCAGACAATAGGCTTGTGGCTGTGGCTGTCCCCTCTTCCCTAGTCTCTCCAGTCCAACTCCCCACGGCCTCTCTGCCCTGTCGCCTTCCACTCTAGGGGAGCAGGGCCTCTTCTCCCCAGAGGTCAGAATGATACCCTGCAGGGAGCAGATGTTCCTGGAGTACAGTTGTCACTCCCAGCCACCTGCTTTGTTTCCCAGCACTCCCTCAGGCAGCAGCCCCCAAGGGCCATGCTTTCCTTACAGCAGGAGAACCTGGTGGTTGAGGCTCCATATAAGCTTTCTTGTTTGTTGTTGAGATTCCATGCACTTGAGCCTGGCCAACTTGGCAAAAAATAAACCAACTGTTTCCAGGAGAACAGGCTATGATCTCCAAATATCTGACATGTGCCCTTACAAGAGGTACTCCTTTAATAGATCCCCAAGGCCTTTTCATCCTGGGACACAGCCTTCCCAGAACTTCCCTGGTGACAGACAAAGTTAAATGATGAGGATGAGAGAAAATATGTTGCTCCCTTTGTTCTATTCACCGTAATTAGCTGTGTTAGGAAAATTGAGCCTTATCCTGGACATAGAGTTGCAAAATATCCCTGAAAACAAACATGGAATTGGTCTACTACTCATTGCTTTAAACCATTTTGATTGTGTTAGAGTGCAACAAGTAGATGGGGCTATTTATTCGTTTATTCACCAGTTTTGAGTATTCTGTACTGGATGCTGAGGATGGGGAGCGGGCGGAGACAAAGATGACTGATAGGACTGTCTTTGAGGACCCTACTCCATAGGTGGAGAGAGAATCTAGTGCCGTGAAGGCAATGGATCTAGTGAAGGCACAAAGAGAGTCAGAGAAAACTTTTCAGAAGAGGGGACAATTGGGCCCTGAAGAACGAGAAATTTACTGCGTATAAAAGTGGGCTTTATTTTACCTCAAGGACACACTGCAATGGCGTAATCTCCTTCCTGCTGGTCAGAGTTTGTCCTATATTTTCTAAGCCTGAATGTAAATATTTTCTGTTCAGATATCTAAGGGTCAAGAGAGTTGCATATCCTTATTATTATTATAAATCCTTATTAGAATTTATATTATAAATATAAATATAACAATTTTATATACTTATAATTATATAATTATAATTCATATTATAAATATAAATCCTTATTATTATAGATAATTCCTTACTTATTTTGGATATTAACCAAAGTGTGCCCCCTGGATGGAAATTTTAAGCAACTCACCATGACCACAGCTATCTGAGTTGCCCTCAGCACTGGCCCCATTTCCTATGTGCACCCCATTTCACTTCTCAGGTCCCTGCAGTGGCTCCCCCACATCTTCACACTCTTCTCAAATCCACTCATTCTGTACCACTCCCACGAGCTCTCAGCCCCCAGCTTTGCAGAGCAGAGAGAATGCAAACTCGCTTATATGCCTGTCTCTTCTGCATCTGCACATCACCTCCTCCTACAAGCCTTTGACTTTAACCTCTCTGTATCTCTTTCCTCTTTGGCAAGGTGGGCATAATAATACCTTCCCCACAGGATTGTTGGAGGGATCTAATCAAGCAAGCCATGTAAATTGACAAGTGAGGGCCTTGTTTGTTGAGGCCTTCTGTTAATGATGGTTGCCATTATTCTATGCTACCTCCTTCGGGAGCTCACATCAAAAATAGTCCCTTGATCTCTTAGACCTTTAATCTCTCCCTTGGCTCCTTCTTCACTCCCTGAAAAATATTAGTCCTAAAATTGATACTTTCCCTCAGCCATGCTCCTTGGGCCGTTTCTAGGCTTTCTTTACTCACAGAGATCTTGACGACTGTATACACAGTCTCCACAAACTTGCCTTCAGTCAGAGTTCATCAAAGTCTCACTGATTTCCAAAGCAGAGGTCAAGATCTTCTGTGGTCCTTGCCCCCACTTCACTGCATGGCTCCATTTAATGCTAAGGGAAGGGAGCTCTACAGAGGAGGGAGTAGTCAGTGGTGTCATATGTGGTTACTTGATGCATAATCCATTTTGAGTTCATTTTTATATAAGATTTTAGGTTTAAATTAAGGCTGGGTTTTTGGCCTATGAATATCCAACACCAATTGTTGAAAAGACTGTCCTCCCTTCATTGAATTGCTTTTGCACCTTTGTCAAAAATCAGTTGACCATAGTTGTCAAGATCATGCAGTCTTGATTACTATAGCTATGTAATATGTCTTGGAATCAAGTAGACTGATTCCTCTGACTTTATTCTTCTTTGTGGAGTTTGCTTTAGCTGTTCTAGTTCCTTTGCCAGTCCACATACATTTTGACAATAATATGCAAAAGATTTGTGCTGGGATTTTAATAGGAATTGCATTAAACATGTATGTCAATTTGGGGAGAATTGACACCATGTTGAGTCTTCCAATCCATGAACATGGTATGTCTCTCCACTTACTTAGATTGTCTTTGATTTCTTTCATTGGCATTTTGTAGTTTTCAGCATACAAGTCCTATGTGTGTTTTTTCTTTTTTTATATTGACAGATAAAATTGTATGTATTTGTTGTGTGCAACATGATGTTTTGAAGCACATACGCATTGTGGAATGACTAAATCCAGTTAATTAATAGATGAATTACCTCATATAATGAGAGGTTAGAACACTTGATAGCCATACTCAAAGCATTTTTCAAGAATACAATGTTATTATTAACTATAGTCACCATGTTGTACAATAGAGCTCTTAAACTTATTTAACTGAAATTTTGTATCTTTTCACCAACATTTCCCCAACTCCCCTTTACCCCAACTACTCCAGCCACTGATAACCACCATTCTGTTCTCTATTTCTTTTTCTTTTTTTTTTTTTTTTTTTTTTTGAGATGGCGTCTCGCTGTGTCGCCCAGGCTGAAGGGCAGTGGCATGATCTCGGCTTACTGCAACCTCTGCCTCCCCGGTTTAAGCAATTCTCTACCTCAGCCTCCCGAGTAGCTGGGATTACAAGCACCCACCACCACGCCCGGCTAGTTCTTGTATTTTTAGTAGAGACGGGGTTTCACTATCTTGGGCAGGCTGGTCTTGAACTCCTGACCTCATGACTCACCCACCTCGGCCTCCCAAAGTGCTGGGATTACAAGCATGAGCCACCGCACCCAGCCTCTGTTCTCTATTTCTATGGATCAACTTTTTTAGGTTCCACGTAGGAGTGAGAGCATGTGGTATTTGTCTTTCTGTGCTTGGCTTATTTTACTTAACCTGATGTTCTCCAGATTTATCCAAGTTATTACACATGACAGGACCTCCCCCTTTTTTATGGCTGAGCAGTATTCTATTGTGTGTATATACATCTTTTTCATCCATTCATCCATTGATGGGCACTTAGGTTGATTCCATATATTGGCTATTGTGAATAATGCTGCAGCAAACAAGGAAATGCAGATATCCCTTCGACATCTGATTTCATTTCCCTTGGATATATACCCAGTAGTGGGATTGCTGGACCATATAGTAGTTCTATTTTTAAGTTTTTAAGGATTCTGTATACTGTTTTCCATAATGGCTATACTAATTTACATTCCCACCAACAGTGTACAAGAGTTCCCTTTTCTCCACATCCTTGCCAACACTTATCTTTCATCTTTTTGATAATAGTCATTCTAACAGGTGTGTGGTGATAATCTCATTGTGGTTTTAACTTGTACTTTTCTGATGATTAGTGATGTTGAGCACTTTTTGATAAATCTATTGGCCATTTGTATGTCTTCTGAGAAATGTCTATTCAGGTTCTGTGCACATTTTTAAATTGAGTTGTTTTCTTGCTGTTGGGCTCTTTCAATTCCTTATTTATTTTGGATATTAACCTCTTGTGAGATGTATAGTTTGCAAATATTTTCTCCCATTTTGTAGGTTTTCTCTTCACTCTGTTGATTGTTTCCTTCGCTATGTAGAAACTTTTTAGTTTGACGCAATCCCATTTGTCTATCTTTACTTTTGTTGTCTGTGCCTATACATGTTTTCTTGGATTTATGCCTATTTCACTTTTTCTGGTGACACCAGGTGTGCATTGCTAGTGTACAGAAAAAAAGTAGCCTTTTGTATATTGATCTTGTAACTTGTGGCCTTGCTTATTTGTTCTAGGAGATTTTTTTTGGTAGGTTTCTTGGAATTTTTTATGTAGATCATCATGTCATCTGCAACGAGGGACAGTTTTGTTTTTTCCTTTTCAATCTATATGCTGTTTATTTCATTTTCTTTCCTTATAGTGCTGGCTAGAATAACCTACGTTGCCTAGCACTGGCAAAAGTAGACATCCTTGCCTCTGCTGTAGAGGAAAGTATTTAGCCTTTCACCATTAAATCTGATGTTAGCTGTAGGTTTTTTTGTAGGTGTTCTTTATCAAGTTGAGGAAGCTACCCTCTCTCCCTACTTTTCTGAGAGTTTTTATCATGAATGGGTGTTGAATTTTGTCAAATGCTTTTTCTGCATCAGTTGATACGATTTTATGATTTTTCTTCCTTAGTTTATAAAGATGGTGGATTACACTGATTGTTTTTCAAATATTGAACCAGCCTTGCATTTTTTGAATAAACCCCATTTGTGTGGTGTCTAATTCTTTTTAAATGTTGCTGAATTCTGTTTGCAAATATTTTGTCAAGAATTTTTTATATCTATATTCACGAGAGATATTGCTCTGTAGTTTTCTTTCTGTAGTGTCTTTGTCTGGTTTTTGGTATAAGGCTAATACCGGCTTCATAAAATGAATTGGGAAGGGTTTCCTTCTCTTCTGTTTTCTGGATGAGGTCAGTATTAATTCTTCTTTAAATGTTTGAAAAAGTTCTCCAGCTTTTGAAAACTGTTGATGCTGTGGACCCAATCTGGCCCAAATAAATCTGCATCTCTGGGGGTGGGGCTTGGGCATACATAGTTGTCCAAAGCTACTCAGGTGAGCTTCATGTGCAACCAGCTGTGGAGCTAAGTGTTGGTTGTGGACTTCTTGAAGCCAAAATAGGAGCATGAAGGAAGCAGAATCCATCTGAGGAATGTCATGAATTAAACAGCTGTGAGATTTGGAGAGTTCAGCTCTGAGACACACCCCCAGAGGCTCTGGTGTTTTCAGGATACCGTGCAGTGTAAGGGAGACATTTGTTGTATAAGACATGTGGGTTCGACTTGGCTACTTGATAACCATAAATTCCTTAGCAATTTCAGCTTTCTCATCTGTAAAATGCCTTGGGTTGTTTTGGGGATAGTAGAGATATGAGAAATGAGATATGAGAGATAGAAAATGAGATAGTAGATGTGAAAGTGCTTTGGAGCTCACATAGCATTTTGGGAAAGTAAAACATGATGTTTCTGTAGGCCCCAGCTTCTCCCTTACTGCAGCTGTGTCCTGATTCCTAATAAGTCCCTCTGGGAAGCCAGTGGGAGGCTTGTGACTCCCGCTGGCTGTAGGGGAAAGTTCCTCCTCTTCTCTGCTCACTTACCCTGACCATGGAATTTGGGCTTTGATAGGAGGGATGGGAAACTGGAAACAGTGAGAAGGGACTTTGACCTTGACCATGCTCACCTTCTTGTAGGAACATGCTTGCCAACTCAGCCAGCGTGAGGATCCTCATCAAGGGAGGCAAGGTGGTGAACGATGACTGCACCCACGAGGCTGACGTCTACATCGAGAATGGCATCATCCAGCAGGTGGGCCGCGAGCTCATGATCCCTGGCGGGGCCAAGGTGATTGATGCCACAGGAAAACTGGTGATCCCTGGTGGCATCGACACCAGCACCCACTTCCACCAGACCTTCATGAATGCCACGTGCGTGGACGACTTCTACCATGGGACCAAGGTAATGCTCCTGTTTGCCAAAGGTGGCTTCCTCTTTGGCTTTTTTATTCTGCTTCTAGGGCTGCTCCAGACTAGACTCATGTGAGCCAGGTGCTCCCAGTGTATTGCTGGCAGGAGAAGGGTGTGTCAGGGCCACTGTGGCAACTACAATAGGGATTTCCGGCTTAACGTCACAGATTTCCATGATTATAGAAAAGGAGGCGTTTAGGCTGGTTTTGCTAATCAGATCATTTACCCAAGTACCCAGGCTGAGAACTGATTTTATTTGTATATCTTTATGTCATGTAATACAAACCTAGAGGAAGAGAATAAGCTGGTGTTTGTTATTAAGTAGGGGAGTGGGTTTGTCTGATGGGCTTCTTTATGTATGATAAACTGAATTAAATTCCCAAAGACTGAAAGACAAATTTGCTTCTTCTAGAGGATGAGACAGCTTCTATTACCTCTCCTAGCTTGCTTGTTATTTTTAAAAACAACCAGAAAATTGCTGGTGGTGGGCTCTCTTTTCAGAGTGAGTTACCATGGACAATATTTAACAGTTACTGAGCTGGACCTGAGCTACTGTAAGTTCCTGAATGCCAAGTACAAAAATTCAGAAGAAAAATTAGGAGGAAACTACATTCTGCAAAAAGAGCCATGAATGGGCTTTTTTACCCTTCCCGTGTGCTCCAACACCTCTGTCATTGCTGTCATCCCTCTTCCTTGTGATTTTCTATCTCATGCTGGCCTCTCCCCGGACATCAGACTGTGAGCTCCTTGAGAGCAAGGCCTGGCCATTTTCCTCTGCTTTCCCAGAGCCTGGACTGACCTGGAACTAGAGTAGCTGTCCCGTAAGTGTGCAGGCAGAGGCTGGGCCTGGCACAGCTTGATGGACCAGCCCCACCTCAAGCAGATGGCCCTTAAGGTCTCCTTGAGGACAGGCCCCCTTCCCAATCCAGGGGCTGCAGACCAGACCCTTGGAAGGCTGGGCTATGAGGAGTCACAGTAGCCATTGCCCGACTGTGCCAAGGCAAGGATGCTCCCTGGCTTAACCCTCTGGCATCAGGGCTACACCTGCTCACTCTAGCCAAGTCCAGGGAAGAGAGGTGGTAGGCCGACTCTCCTTGCTTTCTCCTCTGAGAATTCTCCCGGGCCCTGCAACTGATGTTTTGATTATGAAATGGGGAGCCCCATCCTCATAAATTCAGGATCCTCTTGCAGGGTGCCTGGTGACAGTCGGGACCTTTCTCAAGTGAGTGAGCATATCCAGCTCACCATCCTCAGGCACTGAGCCAGGCCAGGCCTGCGGTTATTGTTGTCATTTTCACTGAAGTATACCATATATACAGAGAAGTGCAGAAATTGTAAGTACACAGAATTACCCCATTGAATACACTTGTAAGCAGCTCCCAAGTCAAGACACCAAACTTTACCAGCACCCAGAAGCTCCTCCAGTCACAGGTTCCCATCAGGGATAACCACTATCCTGACTTCTAATAGGATTTTTTAAATAACAGCTTAATCGAGATATAATTTACATATCATACAATTCATGTATTTAAAGTGTGTAAGTCAGTGGTTTTGGTATATTTATCACAGCTTGGTTTTGTCTATGTAGATGAAATGAAGCAGTATGTACCTTCGCATTGGCTTCTTTTGCTCAAAAATTCATAAATTCATTCACTTTCATTGCTTAATACTATTCCACTGTGTAATATACCACATAGCAATTATCTCTCTGTCAGTGGCCATTTAGGTCATTGCTTGTTTGAGGCTATTACAAACATTGTCACTATGAACATGTTCTTGTACACATCTTCAGCAAACATGTCTGTACACATTTTGTTGGGCACATACTCCCGGGAATGGAATTGCAGGGCCCATAGGGTACACTTAGGTTCAGCTTTAATAGGTAATGCCAAATAGTTTTCCAGACTGGTTGTAACAATTTATGCTCCCAGCAGTAGTGTAAGAGAGGCCACAGTATTTAACACTGACATCACCAGTCCATTCTGGGGTCCATTCTGTAGCATGCTCAGGGCTTGCACTAAAAAATGCACCTTCCTAGTTACTGTCCCTGTTTGGAGGAGTCCTTTAGGCCAGGGTCAGATGCCACACTGTCACTATGCTGTCTACCAGCCTCGCGGTGGGCAGACTGGCCTCCTTTGTCTCATTTTCCACATTGTCATCTGCTAGGGCCTCATTAGCCAAGAGCGACTGGTTTTCCCCTGAGAACCATCAGCTCTTTACAGCTGATGAAGAGCTCTGCACACGTGTCTTTATGCAAGGTGGTGAGTAACTCTTGATCTTTTCTGCTTCTCATCCACGCAAGCAGCTGCCTCCAAAAAACATCTAAAGGCCCCTGTGTGACGAAAGGCCCCAGATCTCCCATTTCTACAGGTTCAGGCTGCCTCAGGAGCCCCAGTCCATGTCAGGCCCTAGTTGTAGGGAATTTAAGAGACCACAGACCCCAGGCGACCCTGGCAGCTGGTATCACTTAAACTGACACTTTGTTATATCCATGCCCTAAGAAAGATTGTAACTGTCCTTGTGCCCCAGCCCTCACATTAAGCCTCTGTCGTGGTGGCCTCGTTCTACCTGGACTCCATTAGTAGATCCTGCCCAGAGTCCTGAAATTCCTGCCCTTGACCCCTCCACTCCACACCAAGATTTCCCCTTTATGTTGTGGCTCCTGCAGCCGAATGGTGTAGCTTCCCAGTTTCTGAAAATCTCCCGCGGAGAGTAAATGCTCTCCTACTGAAACGCTGATGGGGACGGGTGGATTTAATTATTCACACCGCCTGTGGCACCCATGCAGAGGCCGCGCACCCTGATGGACCGCCGCTGACCTACTTAGTATGCTCTAAGAAAGGTTGATTCACTTTAAGCATCTGGGTTTATAATAGAACAGTAATCCCAAGGAAAATCTCACCCGAACGATTAGCCAAGAAAGAAGGAGAGATCAAGTTGCATCTTTTTGTTCTTGTCAGACAGATAGCGGGGCCCTGAACCCTGCACACAACACCCCACCCCCGCCCCGCCCCACCCCAGCTAGCGTCTGCTTGTTGATTTGGCAGCAGCAGCAGCTGGACTAGGAAAACAAAACAGTTGAAAGCCTGGCCTTTCCGAGAACATCTGGGCCTCCATTGTACTTGACCTCCAGGGATTTCTCTCCAGTACTTCTTTAGCCCACGCCTCGCTGGCCCCAGCCTCTGAAAGAGGCTGTGGCAGGCTCTGCCTGGCTCCCCTGCTCACAGCCTGGTCACTTGACCCTCCTCCCTGCCCCAGGCAGCACCCCCACAACACCCCACCACCTGCAGGCCCCGCCCTCCCCAGGCCCAGAACTAGGGTTTCCAGACGGTGCCAGGACCACCTGCTGGCTAACAATACAGACCTCATTCCAAAAAGGAGGTTATCTCCGTGGGGTGGCAGGGGGAGAGGGAGTGAGGAGGGAGAGTCAGTGACACCAACTGTGTTCAGAAGGACCAGAATTTTAGTCTGGTTGTGGGGTCTCATATTATTATTATTCTGCTTAAGTAGATGTTGCACTTAGTCTCTTTCATATGTATCTAGTATTACAGAGTAAAGAATGTTCTTACAGGCTCTTGAGCTCCACCCACCAATGGCTCTCCAGGGCCAGGTGAAAATATCAGAATCAGGTTTTTAAAACTACAAGCATTCATAAGCAAATCAGGTATGTGGCAAAATAAAAATAAATATAGGTACCAGCCCCTCACTAAGATATTGATAGCGAGGACAGACACGTGCAACTGAACAAGCTTCCTATGTGCCTTTTCTGCCTCCCTATCCCTACAAACATATTTTAAGGACCGCTGTCTAGGCCAGTGATTTTCACCCTTTGGAAGCAAATTACATCAGAACTGTCAGAGACGTGTGAACCAGAGCAGCTCCATCTTAAATAGGGGCTGGGTAAAATGAGGCTAAGACCTATTCGGCTGCATTCCCAGATGGTTAAGGCATTCTAAGTCACAAGATGAGACAGGAGGTCGGCACAGGATACAGGTCATAAAGACCTGGCTGATACAATAGCTTGTGGTAAAGAAGCCGGCCAGGTCCCACCAAAACCAAGAGGGCCACAAGAAGTGACCCCTTGTCATCCTCACTGCTACACTCCCAGCAGTGCCATGACAGTTAACAAATGCCCTGGCAACATCAGGAAGTCACCCTAGATGGTCTAAAAAAAAGGAGGCACGAATAATCCACCCCTTGTTTAGCATATCATCAAGAAATGACTGTAAAAATGGGCAACCAGCAGCCCTGGAGCTGCTCTGTCTATGGAGTAGCCATTCTTTTATTCCTCTACTTTCTTTTTTTTTTTTTTCTTTTTTGAAATGAAGTCTCACACTGTCACCCAGGCTGGAGTGCAATGGCGAGATCTCAGCTCACTGCAACCTCTGTCGCCTGGGTTCACACGATTCTCATGCCTCAGCCTCCTGAGTAGCTGAGATTACAGGTGCACACCACCACATCTGGCTAATTTTTTGTATTTTTAGTAGAGAATGGGGTTTCGCTATGTTGACCAGACTGGTCTCAAACTCCTGACCTCGTGATCCACCCGCTTCGGCCTCCCAAATATTCCTCTACTTTCTTAAGAAACTTGCTTTTGCTTTGCACTGTAAAATGGTCCTGAATTCTTTCTTGCACAAAATCAAAAACCCTCTCTTGGGGTCTGGATAGGGACCCCTTTCCTGGAACAAAACCACTTGGGGAATTTTTGAAAGATCCAGTGTCCAGTCCCCAGCCCAGCCCAGCCCAGTTGACTCTAGGTCTGTGTCCTCCCCATCATCCCTGGTGATTCTGAGGAACTTTGAGGGGTTTGAGTGGCACAGGCTGTACTCCTGTTGCCCATCCGACCCTCACCTTGTGAGCCAGGGCTGACATCCGAATCCCCTGGGTCTGCCTTGGGGAAGCTTGGGCCTGTCTTGTTTTGACCTTGCTGGTCTTTCTTATTTGCACCTTGCTGGTCTTTCTTATTTGCTTCTTTCTATTCACATTGCAACACCCCCTAGTTGGGCTCCCAAACCCCAGCCCGGGGCCCAGAGCTTCTGTGCTTGTTAAGTTCCCTAACCCGGTGTCCTGACCTCCTGTCTGTACCTATGGCAATCGTCAGTGAGAGAGAAGTTGGCAGTAGCAGAGATGCCATCAAACAGAAGTCAGTCCACTTGGGGCTGGCCCTCTTCCGTGAGGGTCCAGAGACTCCCTCTTGTCTGTGCCAGAGGCTATCTCGTCCCAGAGACAGCTTCCCACCAACTCAAAATTAGCATTGGGGTATCTTACAGTCAACCTGTGGGGGAAGCCAAATCCTAATCAAGAGTGCTTGTGCAGCATGGGATCGGCCTAGGGGACAGCCAGTCTCGCAGGCTAGGGTGGCCTGCCACCCCTCACCCCCATGGAGGATCCTGCCCCTCCCTGCCCTCCCACTGCAGAGTTCTGGACCCCATCTGGTAGGGCCCTGAGGTATGTGCCGCTAGGACATAAATAAATTCCTTTTGGTGCCCAGCCTTGCCAACTTCCTCACCAAGGATCCTGTTTGTCCGCTTGGCAGGTTGCTTTTGCTACTTTTGTCTTCAAAATGCGCTCTCGTGGAATGAAGCCTATAAATGTGGCTCACTTCCTTTCTTCTTTTTCTTCAACTCCAGTATTCTGTTTCTGGTAAATTCTGGCCAAAATTTCTTTCCCGTCTTTAAGCTCTGCAATGACACTTCCTGCTCATGGGGATCCAGACTCATATGGTCTTGCTTATTCATTGATATTCTCAAGTTTTCTTATCTCTCCATCCCTGCGAGAAGTTGGGTGACACCTTAGAAATCATCTAGTCCCACCCACCCATTGATAGGAGACCCAGAGAGGATGCATGAACGTGCCAGGCGCTGTGGCTCATGCCACTAATCCCAGCACTTTGGGAGGCCAAGCGGGGAAGATCACTTGAGCCCAGGAGTTTGAGAGCAGCCTGGGCAACATGGCAAAACCCCATCTCTACAAAAAATACAAAAATTAGCCAGGCGTGGTGGTGTACGCTTGTAGTCCCAGCTACTCAGTAGGCTGAGTGGGGAGGATCATCTGAGCCCAGGAAAGTTGAGGCTGCAGTGAGCTGTGATTGCACCACTGCACCCCAGCCTGGGTGACAGAGTGAGACCCTGTCTCAAAACAAAAACAAAAACAGGAGTTTGAGGTTGCATGAGTAGCCCACATCCCAGGGCCAGTTGGACCAGAAGGCAGGTTTCTCAGCCTTTCACCACCCTGTTCAAGGCCTCCTGAGACCTCGGGACTGAACAATCACCCCTTTCAGCCTGTGGCCTCTTGGTTGGCTGTATGCAAATATTTCTCTTGCTATTCTGTGGCCCCAAATTTTGCTGGACCAGATGAGGGTGTCTCAGAATGGATTTGCATCAGGCAGGCAGCTGAGCGAGGTCTCTGCCTGCCCAAGACAGTAGCTTTATGAAATGCTGCTCCTCCCTGCAGGAATAACTGATGTCAGCGCCTTAGAGCTAAACAGTTTTTACTATGTATAAATGGTGTTTGTAAGGATTAGATGAGATGATGCATGACAAATGCTTCACATAGTCCCTGTCACAGAATACATATACAATAAATGCTAGTCCCCAGGCTGGGACTACCTGCTTCCACCCCAGGCTCTTTTCTTCCAGTTCCTTGAGAAAAGATCCACCGACTTTGGCTTCACAATGAAATTGCTCCACTGTGCACCGAGTGCCCATGCTACCTGTGTCCCTGGGCTTGGCCAGCAGGCACCCTGGCAGGCCTTCTCTGGGAATCGGCCCTCACCTCCCAGCTCGTTTTCCATGCTCGTTCTTCCTGCTGCCCTACCACCCCTCCGGCCTAGCTGTGGGGGCTGGGATTGGCATAGCTGGGCTCCTCTCTCCACTTTCTTCTGTGACTCACCTGTAGGCTGTAAAGAGCCCTGTGAAGGCTTCATGAAGTGACTTCCCCTCCCCTGCCACCTGGAGGACATCCCTCTACCCCCTCCATCGGTACTTAGTCTGCTTGTAGAGGGTATATTAGTTTTCTGCTGTGTAACTAATTGCCTCAAGTTCAGCAATTTAAAACACCCATTTATTAACTCACAGTTCTGTAGGTAGAAATCTGGGCACAGCATGACTAGGTCTTCGGCTCAGAGCCTCGCAAGCCGCCATCCAGGTGTCAATGGGCTGCATTCTCATCTGGAGTCCAGGGTTCTCTGCCAAGCTCGTGTAGTTGTGGCAGAATTCCATTTCTTGGAGTTCAAGGACTGAGGTCCCTGTTTCCTTGTTGGCTGTCAGCCTGGGGCGGATCTCAGTGCCTGGAGGCTGCCAGCACCCTTTGCCACCTGCCCCTTCCATCTTCAAAGCCAGCAACAGACTCACCTCAAGTCTCTCTCCTGTTTCAAATCTCTGACTAGAATCTCTTTCACCAAGAAAAAAACCCATATCTTTTTTTTTTTTTTTTGAGACAGAGTCTTGCTCTGTCACCAGGCTGGACTGCAGTGGCACGATCTCAGCTCACTGCAACCTCCACTTCCCAGGTTCAAGAGATTCTCCTGCCTCAGCCTCCTGAGTAGCTGGGAGTACAGGCGCCTGCCACCACGCCCAGCTAATTTTTGTATTCTTAGTAGAGATGAGGTTTCACCATGTTGGCCAGGATGGTCTCTATCTCTTGACCTCGTGATCTGCCTGCCTCGGCCTCCAAAAGGGCTGGGATTACAGGCGTTAGCCACCGTGCCTGGCCAACCCATACCTTTATGAGCTCACCTGATTAGCCCAGACCCACTGAGGATAATCTCCTGCCATGGAATATAACCTAATCATGGGTACGTTTTCCCATCTTATTCACAAGATCCCTCCCACACTCAGTGAGATGCAGTTATACAGGGGTGTGGGCCACTGGGAGTCATCTTAGAATTCTGCCTACCACAGGGAGTCACATGCAAAAACATGGCTATCCTATAGACATTTTGCCCTAGTACATCTCCACTCCACCTATTTTGCTTAAACTACCTAAATCATAATTTATTTATTTATTTTAGAGATAGAATCTGGCCCTGTCACCCAGGCTGGAGCGTAGTGGCATGATCATAGCTCACTGTGGCGTCAACCACCTGGGCTCAAGCCATACTCCCACCTCAGCCTCCTGAGTAGCTGGGACTGCAGGCACATGCCACTGTGCCCAGCTAAGTTTTTTATTTTTATTTTTTGTAGAGACCGGATCTTGCTATGTTGCCCAGGCTGGTCTTGAATTCTTGGCTTCAAGCGATCCTCCTGCCTCAGCCTCCCAAAGTGTTAGGATTACAGGCGTCAGCCATCATGCTCAGCTTACTTAAACCTTTTTAAAACTCCACATTTACATTTTTATTTATTTATTTATTTATTTTATTTTTTTGAGATGGAGTCTTGCTCTGTCACCCAGGCTGGAGTGCAGTGGTGCAATCTTGGCTCACTGCAACCTCCGCCTCCTGGGTTCAAGCAATTCCCCTGTCTCAGCCTCCCAAGTAACTGGGAATACAGGCGCCCGCCACCATGCCCAGCTAATTTTGTATTTTTAGTAGAGACGGAGTTTCTCCATGTTGGTCAGGCTAGTCTCGAACTCCTGACCTCAAGTGATCCATAAGCCTCAGCCTCCCAAAGTGCTGGGATTACAGGCATGAGCTACTGCGCCCAGCCCACATTTACATTTTTAAAATAAAAAATCACCTTGGCCCCCCTTCATCTCACGGCTCTCTCTATGCCTGATGTCGTGTCCCTGCAATGGCTCCCTGTTGTCTAAGACATCAAGTTTGGATGTATGGATCTTCCCCCTGGGCAACCCCTGATCTGACCTTGCCCTCCCATCGACCCATCATGGCCAGCTGCTCCCCACACGCACCCATCCATCAGGAAGATGCCCTCCATGGACACCCCATGCTGCCTGTTGCCATCTCTCTCCACCCCTGCACAGAGCCCCTCCTTCAAGGCGAACAGCCTCTCGTGGCACTCCTCCTCCAGCTAACCCAGCTCCAGGATGTCACTTTCTTCTCGCCAGCTGAAATAACTTGTCATCCTAGGGCTTTCAAATTGTTTCCCATGTTAAGTTTGTTTCTCAACAAGATTGAAGACCCTTTGAGGAGCAGAGACCACGATTTAACTTGTGACTAGCCACAGAGCCCGCGTAGCCCTAACGGTGTAGTCGACATCCAAGAAATGGATGTCAGCATGGAGTGGGAGTTATCAGCACAGACTGGGGCTATGAATGCTGGAGTTCGGATTTCAGCTCCACATTTGCTTGCTATGTCATGTGGGCAAGTTAATCTCTCTGTTCCTCCATTGTCGTATGTCTTTAAAAGTGCTAATTGAGTTATTATTTGTAAAGAACTTAAAAGAATACTTGGTGCTTATTAAGCATTATGTGAATGTTTGTTAAATAAATAAATAGATCATGTTGATCAAAGTCAGATCCCTTAAAAATCCATTTGTACGAGCATACATATAAAACAGTTAAGCATCAAATAGGAACTGAAAGAACTGGATTTCATTCCTAGCGTTCGAATTTCTGTGTGTGTTTTAGATTTCAAACAGAGTCTGATAGTAATAGTGATAAATTCTAGATAATTTTCTGTCTTCTCTCTTTCTCTTAAAGGCAGAAATAGCCAGCAATAAACTCTGCAGGCATCAGGAGCTATTTAAAGGTGTCCTGCTTCAAACCAGCTACTTGCTTAACAAAACCTTGCTGGCAACTTTCATTCTACGTGTACATTAATTGGTAGGCCAAAATGTAGGCCAGGTTGATCCTTCTTAGAACTGATGTGAATGAGGAGATCTATCGTTTCTTATAAATTTGTATCTCTGGTATTGGGAAAAAACCTCCTATGGTGACCAAGCAGCTCCTCAACTTCTAGAATAGTGTTTGCAAAGAATTTATCAATGCAGATTATTGCATTTTTAAAACCTTTGATTCAGAATAAAATAAATACACCCTCTGTGATTGAGGCCAAGTGTCTTGGCAATCTTTCGTGCTTAGTACAAGAAGCTTTGCTTTATGCTGTCATCCACTGGAATTTATAAAAGGAAAAAAGGAAGAAGAAAAATATATACTGTATGTGCACTTCAATGATACATATTGCACATGAATGCCATTTTTCTGTCTTCTTCCATTTTTCTCCCTTCTTCCTCTTTTTCTTTTCTTAAATTAAGCTTGTATCTTTTTTAATATTTCAAGAAATATTTGAATATGGCCTTTTCTCAATTGGAAATATCTGTTCTCCCAAACCTCACAGAGGTTACCTTTGAAGTTGCCATATTTGTGTTGAAAATAAGGGACATATCTTGGTTCATTTACAGGTAGAAATTTGCGTAGGTGCCAGATCATCTCCCCTGGATAGTTTCAGCCTCATTGTTCCCTTGGGTGATTACTGCAGCCAGCCACATTTTTCTCTCCTTCTGATGCTTTTTTGTTTCTTGTTGACTAAAACTGAAGCCCTATAAGGATCTTTAATTAGTAACTAAACGAATATAAAACTGTGGGCCAACTACTGTAAGAACGTTCTCACTGACCATTGTTTCTCACTCATATTGCACACACATCACACACACCATCTCACATTCACACTCGCTCTCACACACACAATTTTAGAGCTGGAAGTACCATTAGAGATTAATAAATACTACCCCTAATTCATAAATAATTTTCCTGTTTAGACTTAAACGATCCACAGTATTCTCAATTAATATTTTAAAATAAAATTAAACAAGGCGGGGCTCAGTGGCTCGGTGGCTCACGCCTGTAATCCCAAAGCTTTGGGAGGCCAAGGCAAGAGGATCACTTGAGGCCAGGAGTTTAAGACCAGCCTAGGCAACATAGTGAAACCCCATCTCTACAAAAAATACAAAAATTAGCCAAGCATGATGGTGTGTACCTATAGACCTAGCTACTAGGGAGGCTGAGGCAGGAGGAGTTTGAGCTCACTTGAGCTCAGAAGTTTGAGGCTGCAGTGAGCTATGATCATGCCACTGCACTCCAGTGACAGAACAAGACCCTGTCTAAAAACAAAAAAAAAATTGGTAAATGTTAGTGAACTCCACTGTTGGGAAGAATATGTCTAGAAAGAGGAGAACATGATTAGGTAACCTGGGAAGCCACCTTTA